>NC_000003.12:169463149-169614664 GCF_000001405.40 Homo sapiens
ATGCAAGTTAAGTATAAGGAAATGGACTCCCTTTCCCAGGCACCGGGCATTAAAAAAGAAACCACCCCACTGGGAAATGGAAGGATTAAGCAGAGATTCCTATATGGCATCATTCATCTTGCACAGATATTAGCTTGATGCTCATGTGAAAACATAAAAACTCCATCTGTTCCCTAGGCATACTTAGTTTGTTGTTCAGATGGTTTGTTTTAAAGACTAATTTGTAATGGTTAAGTTAGTTATTTCAACTGAAAAAAAGTGTACAAAATGGAGCTTGGCATCTGGTTTTGCTAAAGGTGTTAAGCAATATTTAAGCAGCTGAGTGTCATCTCTACTTAAAGGATAAAATGAACAAGGGAGGTGGATTCTGCCTCCAGATAGATGAGCTTCAATCAGTATGAATGGGAACAGAATAAAAATAAGAAAATTATTATATTTTAAACTCTAAGGTCATCCTCAAATGTATTTGAACTTTTCATTTAGATGATGTAGCCATATGAGAAATTCTGTGTAACTTGTTCTACTTTGATAGTAAAACCTTAAATATTTACATGTATCAAGTTATACGTTTAATTTTTTTCATTTCTCCAATTGCCATTGGATTTGGGAGTAATTGGGAGAGTGCAATAAGATGGCCTTTGTTTCCTCTTAAATGGTAATTTGCACCTTCACTGTCATGGTGTCAGATATCAAGTGCAGATGCCTATCATATTTTTATCAAATATAATTTTGTTAGGAGAACTAAAAGTACGACTGCAAAAAAATTTTTTTTAATTCACCTATTTTTCTTCAAGGGATATGTGCCCTTGACTAATGAAGGTTCCTCCTTAATCTGCGAAGTTTCTGCAAAGCTTGCTGAGAGACACCCACAGAGTGGAAACCAGGCAGAAGAGAAGACTCACATGCCCACCTCACCGGCCAAAGAACCCTTGAGAGCAACAGCACAACGGATGTCAGAGCCAGGACATCCAAGGTAATGATGCTATTCCTATTATCACCTGAGACAACATTTGTGTGAGGATTCTTGCATATGGCCATATTAAAGATTTACATTTGGAGTTTTGCTAACATTTCCAAAGCAGTTGAGACACGGAACATTTTTGTTTTGAAAGCATTTCAAAACAGTTGTCTGTTAAATTTTGGAATGTAAAAATGTAGTTACACTTGGCATGGGCATTTAAATGTAAAACATATCTCTGTGATCCTTTTCATAACAGCAAGATTCTTTGTTGGATTGGAAACAAAAGAAAATCTCAAAACACTATCCAAAAAATCTTCCTTGTTGTCCATCAGGATGTCTCGCCGTGTAGATCTCACACCCTCTAGTTTTCGAAAAGCACCACGGACCCTCATTCATTGCTTATTACTTTTATTCACTCTCATTCTACCTGCTTTTTCTAATTCTCACTGGATTTGAAAAAGCAAATTAGGAGGGCATTACATGGGGAAAAGTGGGGAAAGTTCTTCAGGAAACTGATGGATTACTGTATATTATTCATTTAAATCTATTGAGCTTTATGGTCATATGTATCCCTTTAAACGGTATTTTTCTTCTATATCAATTTATAATACAGTATAACTTCCCTCTGTATACAGCTATCCCAATTCAGGTGAGAAGAAGAGCAACTCCACCATTGTTCATGGTCATAATCATCAGATCTTTGTCTTTGTTGAGAATACAAAATTCAAATTTTCTTTCTTCTACTAAGAAATTAAATTAAACATTAAATAGTAAATTTTTAGTGTTTACTGATTTTCTCTCCTTACTGTCACTGTGTCAGGCTCCAAATATCAAGCCAAATATATTTAATATTTAAAATGTTGAAAATGTTTCCTCAATTCACCTCTTTTTTATGTGGAAGAATTTTTTCTTTTAAAAATCTTACAATGAATACTTATATTAGAATCAGAATAAAAACAAAATTCTTATTACTAACAAATTTCTCAATTTAAGCTCTTTTCACCTATATATTCGTACTTTATTTAAGTTCCCTCTGATGTTTTAAGTTCTTCATTCTTAAGACAGCCTTGTTTAAAGGTTAAGAGCATGAATTCTGGGGCTGAACTGCCTGGGTTTTAATCTCAGCTTTGTCACTAATTAGCCGTGTGCCCTTGGGCAAGTTACTTAACCTCTCTGTGCTTTTTGCACATTTGTAAAACTGGGATAATAATATCTGTTTCCTAGTATTGTTATTTAATTGTTATTTCATATTCCTAGTATTGTTATTTAATATGTATAAAGTGCTCAGAATAGTGGCTGGCACACAGTAAGTTCTCTATAAGTATTCATTATATAAATAAAATAAAATAAAAACCTTAAAGACAGCCATTGATTAAATTCCATTTGGACAAAGCCAGATAAATGGCCAACACTTTGCTTGTCTTAGATTATCATCAAAATGTGATCTCTCTCATTTTACACTGATTTTTTCTGTATGTGTCGACATCCATTTTAACATAATGACATCACTTCATTTCACTTTGGCCTCAGCTGTTAACAGAGCTATTGAACACTTGGTGTAGATTAATTTATCTTTCACATTTTAATATGACTTTCTCACCATAAGAAAATCCTCATGATATACTAAACAATTTTATTTCTAGAAAATTCAATCTTGGAGATAAGTGATTACTTCTAAGAATATCCATAAAAATTACAAGCTCAATTACAACTCATCTGCTGTTTTAAATGTTTTCTTCTTTTGCTCAATTACAGTTCTTCTGGGCTTTAGCTCATAATATTCTGAATATAAACTCTACATTTTACCTGATCCTTTTCTAACAAGAGTTCTTCAAACACTATGCTACTTAGGAACCATGATGAAGTCATGGTGTAAAAATCACATGTCCTTACAAACTCACATCTTTAAAACTTGTATGTCTACTTTACTTTGATTCTAAAGTTGTATTTTGTTGCCATCTGAACACTTGAGATATAACATTTGAAGAATCAAGGTATAAAACCAGAGTGAGTAGAATCCCTGGCCATCCGTTACTATTGCTGGGTTAGGAATCCATCAGTCCAACAGGCAGCCTCTCAAAACCCAAACACTGGATATGCATATGCCAAATGGACTTCAGCTGAATAAAGTGAATACTGATGTTGGTATTTAGAAGCAGGTCCTTCTCAAAGAAGCCTTGGTACACACCTTTGACCCTTAACTGGGGTGCTCCAACATTGCCTGTGATGATGACTCCCAGTGAAGGCTCTGCGCTGTGCTTGGCTGCATTTCTATCTGAGTGCCAACAGCAAGATAAATGAAAGACTGGTTCACTGGAGTACTGGTGGTTTGGGGGCTATTGATTTTTGGTCCATTCTCTTTAAAAGTGAGATCTAAAAAGTTGACAGAGGGTCATTAATTTCATCATATACTTGTCGTCTCATCCATAACCAATCCAGAGTCTGAGTGTGCTTGTCACTCTGTGTTTGCACTTTATTTGTTTGGGGTTTTCTTGGTGATTCCACTCTTTTTTTTCCTCTTTCACTTCGGCCTCTTTAAATAAAGAAAGAAAAGAAACATGCCAGTTTGTGGCTCTTTCCTGAAAATGATTTGGGGATGGGGAAAGTTATAGATACAGATACATAGAGAGAGATTCTGGTAATAGGAAACAGTCAGAAAATAGCCTCTTCCAGCTGCCTTCTAACCTGGGTTTAAAAAAAGAAAAACTCCATATAAAATTCATCAATCCTAATTATTCAATTAGCCTCCAATTGAATAAACACTTACTTAGGTGAACTAGTGGACTTGTTTTAATGAAATATTAAAATACAAGTTGCCAACATTCTTTTTCAAAAAGCTTCTGGGTTCTCAACAAATGTTGTTGAAATGTACAAAAATAATTGATAGTAATCGTTAATTGAGTTTCTTTGGCTGTAAATTCAGAACAGGTCTACCAATCCTGCAAGAAACACCAAACTGAATTTCAAGATATCGTGAAAACAACTTACTGGTGAGTTTTATTGTTATGATGGCAGGTTTATTTCTTGTTTGTTTTTTAACAGGGTAAGGAGAGTTTGGCAGCCTCCATAATTATTATTGAAATAACCATCAAATAAAATCTTTAAGCCTGGTTGAATTTTCAATGAGCTGTGTAAATCTGGGGTGTGGAAAACAATAGCACAGGGCAAGAGTAGAATTCCAGAAAAATAAGCAGAGATTTTTAGACAATTCTTCAGCAGTCCACCTAGACAGTTATGTCCTCCTACCTGACTGGGGATGTAGTTGATTCTATAGTATCTGTTTTGAAACCTAGTTGCAAGACTGCAAGTGAGGAAAGCAAAGGAAAATATGATTAAGTTCACGGGCCAAGGCAAGGAAATCCAGTATTAATAATATCACAACCTGCCAGTAAATCTCTATTTTATAGGTGAAGAAATACATTTCTACTTTAAGTGTGTTTTTATATACCCTTGAGTGTCCAACTAGTTAAACTACCAAGGGAGCTCTACATGATTTAGAAATTAATCCTTCAAATAGCTAACAATTGAATGCCTCAGCTGTTTGTAGTCTCCTACCGCTGGCTAATTTCATTTTTGTTTTATATGTTCAGTGGTAAGCTTTCATTGTTCGCTGACACTGAGGTTGTAAGTCTAGTTAATTTAGTTAAAATGAGGCTGAGAATGTTCATAGCTTTTCACCGGCTACAACAAGACCTGGGAAAACTTGGAGTGAACACCCCACAATGAAACTCAATAGGAAAGAAAATTGAGATGACCCAGCTCATGGTCAGCTTTCATCACCATGGAATAGGGATGTAAATAAACATCTTTAAATGTGTTAAAAGGCTTCTAAGATCTGAAAACGTTTGGTGCTTTGCATTATCTCAGGCTCTGTGGTTACTTTTCTGGCCAACTCCCTTCTCCTCTTTTTATGTCAAGTCATTTTCCCCCAAAGCCATTGCTTGAAGTTGCGGTAAAAGACAAACCTAACAGTCTTCGTGTGCTTCTTACTAACAAAACCCACTAATTTTTTTTTTCATCTGCCTATCACCTGCTCTGTTTCCTCCCACTCTCCCAGGGTTCCCTACACTTTTCCTTTTAGCTGCTCAAAGGTGTAAATCTCCTTCCCATGCCCTGATTCCTCATTTCCCTTCCCCAGATAACTCCTGCCCCTTCCTTTATTTCAACATACCCATCCCTTATACAAGTTATTTTTCTAACTCTTCATACAAGATCTGCTCCACTGGTCTCATGTTCTCTCTTTTATGTGTACAAACACGTACTTAATTCTTCACAGCACTAATCAGGGCTGTAATTAAACAATTAATTGTGTAATTAATTTTTAGGGTCTGTCTTTCCCATTAAAATGTAAGCTCTGTGTAGATTGGGACCATATTTGTCTTATTTACTTTCCCGTGCCTCAGAGCCTAGCTCATAGTATACACTCAAAATTTTGTTGAATGAATGAATCCATTCCAGGATCAGTTTTCTCACCTGCAAAATGTAATAAAAAGGAATCCTTGCTTCTCAATGTCATTGTTAGTATCAAATGATATAACAAATATTTGAAAAATACTTTATAGGAAATCAAATGCTATAAGCATTATTGTTAATGCATTATCATTAATGCATAATGGTAGCAATTGTTGTAACCATTTCTGACACATGGAAGCAATTGCTTGAAAGGAATTTGTCAAATGACAACCACTCTGATCTTACTTGATCTTACTTCATGCAAAAGCAGCCAACAACTCGCCTGGGAACAGACTCCCCTCATCTACCCTGTGCCTGCTAGGCAGACTGCCACCAAGGAATCTGAATGCAGACCTTCATAATTCCATTGTAATCATGGTCTTGGTTGAACTCAAAAAACATTTTTGGGCACTGTGATGGGTGTTAGAATATCCTAGCAGTCTTTCTAGGGCAGCGTAAGTCACATTGCCTAGAAAAATTAATATTCTAATAGTAAAGATGGACACAGGGACAGATCGTTACAATTCTAGTCAAATTCCATAAGGGGAGGAGCCAGATTATAACAGAAGTGCACTGAACTCAATCTGGAGCCTCAGTCATGACTTTCCAGGAGGAGATGGTGACTGAGCTGATTCTTAAAGAATGAACAAGGTTTCCCAGGTAAAGGTGGTGAGAGTGCTCCTAGCAGAACAAGCAGTATAAGAAAGATACAAATGTGTGGAACAGTAAGAAGTACAGGTCACCAATCAGGTGTCCTGTCAGTAGGAAGCCAGCAGGGAGTCTATATCTACAATGTCTTAGTATTCCAGCAGTTGCATAGGAACCTAAATCTGAGATGTGGTTTTATCAACCAAAAGTAAAATTGCCAAAAGCCCAGCAAAATAACCTATGAGTGACTTAAAATCAAAACTACTACCTATCACCCCTGTTTTAGCATCAGCTAAATATAGCTGCTTTTAGAAAAGCAGCTTATCTCCACAATAGTCCTTCTGAAAAACTAATTATGTGAAAGTATGAAAAATGTACATTTCAAGGTGTACGTTTTTTTCTCCTACCCAGAAGTCCTCCTTTCAACTCTCCAGCAACGCCCCCTTGCATTCATAAACTCTGTGTCCACAGAGATACATGCATTTTTCCAGAAAAGTCATTAATTTTGGAATTTAAGAAATATGAAATAGACAAAGTGGGTAATTTTTCACACTTAGAAGAATGTACCCGTTATGTTTTGACTCTTTTTCTTGCACAGCTGAGAAAAGATTAATAACTCACTTTCTCTATTAATTGGCTTCCCAGGTGCCATAAAAGATGGTACCCAATCAAGTCACTTAAAGCAAAAAATGCCCATAGCACTCATTAACCCCCAACCAGAGAACGTGGTCATCACACATTAACTTTCCAGCAGCTAGCCTTCCTAAGAAACTGATATGATATTAAAGCTCCAGAGGAGTCAACTCTTAAATAAATTGTTGAATTATCCTCTTCTCCGAAAGGTACCCAAAAGTATTTTATATTAAAAAAGTAGCCAAGCACATGTGCCAACAATGCAAAAGTGTATATGATTACAAACAATTTTATTTTGCAGAAGCTTGGAGTTGGAACAATTCTAGCTTATTGAGGAGCTCTTCAAATTAGAAGGTAAGAGAGCAAATCACAAAAGATACATTCCAACTTCCTCTATTCATAGCCATAAGAAAAGGCCAGGGGAAAAAATAATAAAAGGTCTGAAGTCCTATGAGACTACACTTAAACTCTGAAGTCTAGGAAACTCTTACTTTAACATTAGCAAGAATTCCAAAGATTTGTATTTAGTCTAATGGAAGAGAGAAAAAACGAGCTTCTTGATGACAGCAAAACCACACTCAGATCATTGGAGGTCCTGGCAACCAGATACAAATTTATTCCTTTAGGAGCCCTGTCCTTTCTGTTGAAGCTCACTGCTGGAAGAATAACACAACTTCACAGTCACAGTTCTGCCATGAAAGCAGGAATCATGGGGTACAGGTGTATGAGGGGGAGGGGACAGGCAAGAGGGAAGAAAGTGATATGTATTAGACTGTTCTATTCCTGGCCACAGAGAGAGAAATTCTGAGGCATGTCACAGTGCTTGATGTGAAAGCCTAGTAAGTCAAAACGGGAAGAAATACTTTCAGAATCCTAATGGTCCTATTGCCAGAGTATAAGTTATGAGGAATCTGGTGTATCTATCATCTAGAAACCAAACAAAACTAAAAATCACAGGGGAATTACTACAGGTTAAAAAAAAATGTCTATTTTAAAGATTTAGAGATAGATTCAAATAGCTAGAGGAGGGTCTGAGCTATTTTTTTATTACAATAAGGCACACTTTTAAATGCCTAATGTCCTTTTGTTTTAGGGGGGCTTGTTTGTTGTTTTGTTTGTTTGTTTTGAGACAGGGTCTGGCTCTGTCACCCAGGCTGGAGTTCAGTGGTGTGACCTTGCCTCACTGCAGCCTCCTCCAACCCTTCTCCACACAACTTCCCCAATACCCCCATCCCCACCCCAGGCTCAAACAACCCTCCCACCTCAGCCTCCAGGGTAGCTGGGACTATAGGCACGTGCCAGCATGCCCGTCTGATTTTTTGTATTTTTGTAGAGATAGGGTTTAGCCATGTTGCCCATGCTGGTCTCTAACTCCTGGGCTCAAGCAATACACTGGCCTCGGCTTCCCAAAGTGCTGGGGTTACAGGCATGAGCCACCACACCCAGCCTCAATGTCTCTTTTTTTTAAATCTCTTTACCTTTATTTTTGCTTCTGCTTTTCTTTCTAAGTTTACCTCAGGAAAAAAAAAAAAATTCCTGCTTTAAATTCTAGACACCTATCCTGTGTAACTCCTACCTAGCAAGCATTGAATACATATATTTAAATGAAAGCAGATTTATCATTTAATCAGATAATGGAGAACACTGATGAAAACTAAGTGAAACTTCTCAGAAAAGTCACACGCTCTTTGGGCTTTATATCCAGGAATCCAACAAGGAGGAAAGTACCATCCCAGCTGAGCATTAATTATTCTTCCTTAGATTTCTCAGCTCCCATGATACTGCACTACATTGCCTAAGTCCTATATGTTAACCACTCTCCTTTGCTATGTGCCTATAATTTCTTGTTTATTCTTTCCTCCTGGCTCCTCATCACAATGCCTGGAATCACATTTGTATAATTTTGGAGGCAAACAAAGCACTTCCATGTCGTTTCCCTCTTCTGTTTTTCTCCTTGTAAGTTCCCATTTTCCATTTATACAATTCACTCTATTTAATAGTTTTCCTTACTATTCTATTTATGCCCACTTACTTTGATGATGTGCATTTATTTATGCCCCCTTCATTTTAGCAACCATGTTTTGTTGTCCACATGTCTTGAACTTTCAGTTTAAGATCTTTAGCTGTGTAGACTTGGGCTAGACTTCATGTTGTCTGGAATTCTAAAATATAACAAAATCTTGCCATGACTACATGTGCAAGGATCCTAAGAGTGTTTCTCTCAAAGAAAGGATAAGTGCTTGAGGTGATGGATACCCCATTTACCCTATAGTGCTTATTATACATTGTATGCCTGTATCAAAATATCTCATATACCCAATAAATATACACACCAACTGTGTACCAACAAAAATTAAAAATTAAAAAAAAATTAAAGTTTATTTCCCCATTCAAGAGGTTAGTTCACCCAATGGTGCCTATAATATTGTGTAAAAAAAAAAACAATAATAATAATATATTCAGGAGGCTGAGGCAGGAGGTTCACTTGAGCCCAGGAGTTTGAATCCAGCCTGGGCAATATAGTGAGACCCCATCTCTAAAAAAAAGGAAAAATAATAGAGGAGAGGAGAGGAGAGGAAAGGAAAGGAAAGGAGAGGAGAGAAAAGGAAAGGAAGGGAAAGAAGGAAAGGAAAGGAAAGGAAAGGAAAGGAAAGGAAAGGAAAGGAAAGGAAAGGAAAGAAAAGAAAAGAAAAGGAAAGGAAAGGAAAAGAAAAGAGAGGAGAGGAGAGGAGAGGAGAGGAAAGGAAAGGAAAGGAAAGGAAAGGAAAGGAAAGAAAAGAAAAGAAAAGAAAAGGAAAGGAAAGGAAAAGAAAAGAAAGGAAAGGAAAGGAGAGGAGAGGAAAGGAAAGGGAAGGGAAGGAAAGGAAGAAAGGGAGGGAGGGGGAAGGAAGGAAGGAAGGAAGGAAGAAGAGAGGGAGGGAAAGAAAGTAATATAAGCCTTAGTGTTCATTTTTTCAAATTGTTCAATTTATAGAAAATCCTAATCATGTGTTTAACCGACATAAAGTTCAAAGACAAGGTCTTAATGACTGCTTACTATTGTGGTAAGACAAATATGTCACATGTTCTAAAAATCAATCAAAATATTTACTAGGCCCCTACTTTGTCCCTACCTGGTAGTTATCAATATGTAGACACCACCCAGATACCATGCCAAATGTCAAAGATTTTTAAATCAGAGAAAAACCTAGAGAAGGAGTCATTAGCATCCAACAGTCTCCTGGTTTCCAAAAGGAGGTCCACCACAGTGGTTCCAACCTGTGAGAGAATCAAAAGTAATCTTGGAAGCTTTGTCAGAAATACAGAATCCTGATTTCTACATTAGATCTCTAAGGTAAATAAGGCTGTCTGGAAGTAGATTCAGGAATTTGTACTTTTGAAACTTCTCTGGTGATCAGAATGATCACCCTATCTACAAACTGCTGATTTATCTGGCCTTCATCCTAATCCACAGGCTAGCCAAAAACACAAGAGCGAATATATGAGGTTCCCAGCCACTGAAAAAAGAGAAAAGAGAGACCACTATCCCTAAATATTGTGAAACTTGAAATTCAGCAACACGATTTTGAGAACATTAAGAAGTCACTACTTTCTTGCTGTCCTACAGGTTAGGCGAAGGAAGAAATATGTTTAAACACCAGATACGGCAGGGCGTGGTGGCTCATGCCTGTAATCCCAGCACTATGGGAGGCTGAGGTGGGTGGATCATGAGGTCAGGAGATCGAGACAATCCTGGCCAACACAGTGAAACCCTGTCTCTACTAAAAATACAAAAATTAGCCGGGTGTGGTGGCACACACCTGTAGTCCCAGCTACTCAGGAGGCTGAGGTAGGAGAATCACTTGAATCTGGGGGGCAGAGGTTGTAGTGAGCCGAGATTGCTCCACTGCACTCCAGCCTGGTGACAGAGCCAGACTCCCTCTTAGAAAAAACACAAAAACAAAAACAAAATACCAGACACTATTAGTTTTGGGTACAAGAGAGGGAAGCCAATTACACATATAGCAAAAGAGAAGGAAGAATAAATACTATATATATGTAGTATTCATTATATCTATAGATAGATAGATAGATAGATAATTGAATCTATAGACAGGTTCTCAGAGAGAAAGAATACGCTCGCATCTTTCCTCCCTTTTCCTATGAGCACGACTCAACAGGACAGATTGGGTCAGTAGCTTAGGTAGAAATGGTCCAGGTTTGAGAATGCTAATGAGCATGTCAAACAATTTAGTCAGTCACCACGTGCCACCTCTCATTCACAAGATGAATTTCTTTTGTAGTGGCACATTGAAGGGAGAGGTTTAAATAGACCTTGTGGAAGGATCTGCATCAATAATAATTTCCAAGCAATCCCACTAGGAAGACAACTGTCTAAAGTCAGCCGAGAGAGCAAACAACAACAAACTTCATTACTATCTTTGGTATTTTGTAAACGTCAGTTCCTGAAGTCCAGCCTTCCAGCCTAATGCTCCATACTAGAAAAAGCCACTTACCCAACACCCCTATCATTCTTTCCTTTTTTCAATATACGGTTTATTAATATAGATGTCAGTCTGTACTTACAACCCAACATAAAATATCCTTGAAAATGGAATGTCAACAGAATGGTAATATACCACCTTGGGTTGATGGGACAGTTTTATTGCAACAGCTTAATTTTTATCAATATTATATAAATTATATTGTTACAATCATATATATTTATGATTAGATATAAAGTAACTGCTTTTTCCCTAATGCTAAAAACTCTATTATGTGAAACCTTGGTGTTAAAAGCAGGGTTTGAGGTTGGCAGCCCATGTTTTGTGTAATAACTGCTAATCCTCCACCAAAGAAGAGAAATCATTTGGAAGATACAAAAACTCTGAGTTTTTTATGCTCTCTGAAACCTATGTCATCAATGTGGATTAATATTTGCCCCCAGAATGATTCTGCAGGTGAGAAGAGATAACTGATATATATTAGCTTAGTGTCTAGTACTTAACCACCCATTATGATGGTATCTAATCAATCTATATTGATATCTGTCTGCCTACCTCATAAAATCTGTAGGTAGATACTATTATCCCATATTACAGAATAGAATACTGAGGTTCGATAAAGTTACATGTATTACCCTAGATCTCATTGCTAGTAGGGGCCAAGCTGAGTTCCAATTTCAGTTTTTGTGATTCTTAAAGCCTGAACAACTCCTACTGTATTCTCCTCAGGCCAACAGTCTGAATTACTAACACAGCACGTAAACAATCAGAACAGAGTCCATGTATTTATTGGTAACAAATGCACATACAAATCACTTGAAATTCCTTTTAATGATAACATAGCATATAATTCTATAGGGGAAAAAAGACAATTTGTGCTCTTATTTGTTGCCAATGGTTGCACTTCATTCTGAAAGTCATTTAATATTGAAATAAGTATCTTTCATGATTATCCTAATATAACCATTTTAGTTCTAACCCTGACAAGCAGCAAACTTTGTCCCCTGGCCCAACTTTATCAAGACGGTTGAAGTGTTTTTTTAAGTTATTCCCATTTTGCTTCTGGAAAAACTGGGCACAGGATGTTTCATGACCTTCCTCTTATGCACCCTGGGACTGAATTTGATCACAGTGACAAGCCAAACTGAGAATTTCTAAGGCCAGGAATACGGGCTGCCCTTTCTTTTAATGGACACATGGATGAAATGGTAATGTTTCCTTAGCACATTAAAAATAGTGACTAAAAAGTCGAAGTTTTTTTTTTTTCCGAATCTAATAGCTGTCTTAAATCGGGTAGAAAAGAAAGACGCAATCATTCCTTAAATGCATATTTAAAATTCACCAAGCCAAAGCCAGTCTTGCCAGATTTTGTAATCCTTTCCATAGTCTTTGTAAAGTACCTAGCTTGCCAATTAAAAAAAAAGGGGGAGGAGGAGGGAAACCTCAAGTGGTTTTTAACCACCAATAACAAAAACGACAAAGGTATTTTGAAACATCAGTTGCTGCTAGTTAGGAGCTAGCATGGATGTCTCTGGCTCAAAGATAATTCTTGCTCATGTTGGGTTTTTTTTTATTGCAACAGTATAAAATCAGATAAAGATAAATAAAATGAAATGGAAGCACAGAGATATTTGCTCTAAATATGGCTAAAGTGAATTTGTGGCTTGATGCCACTTTTCGCAGCTTTGTTCTCCCTAATCTAATTATGCCTTGAAGTTGTCTGCATTTGAGAAATTAATACTTTGATGAAATATCTAGCCAGTTCCATAAGCAGCAGAGGGAGAGGAAAGGGAAACATATATATAGTATTAACTCTGCCAGCCTTCAACCACCACAAGACCTCCTGGGCACAACAGTGGCCCACTAATAAAATGAAATGATAGCATATGTGCTTTGTTTAATTTTGATGTCTTCATAATGTATTACACAATTAGATTGATTTGACAATTTCCATTATGCTTGATAAAATATTTATTGAGCCCTGAAGATGATAACTCTTATCTAACCACCATTTGTTCTACAGATGTGACATATTTAATATATAAGTAACATCACTCAGATCTATGTTCCAGTTAGCCCATTACATTTTATTTGCAGAGTACAGTGTAAAGTCATCAATAACGCTTTGATAGATCCCTGTCTGCCCGGTGCTTGACAGGTGCGGAGAGAGCTTGCTCACATTCAGCGGCAGGGGCACATCAATCATGGCCAAGAAATTTACTGTGTGAAATTGGCCTCATCTGTCTCAATGCTTGATGCAGATCGAGTTTGTTCTTCTGATAGAGGTGTCGTTAGTCACCTAAGCATGCCTCCCTTGGTACTCATGCTCTCTGCAAGTAATCTTTTTTTTCTCCCCCTTCTCCCCCTTCCCTTTACATATTTTTGTGAAATTAAAATCTCGCCCTCCTGTGACCCTAATCCACATATTCTTGGCCAAAACAGGAGCCAGGTGACCTTTGAGATTACCCTTGTGAAGCCTTGCAGGTTGAGTGGAAGAAGATGCTATTTTTTGTTGATGCTGTTCTTTTTTTTTTTCTTTTTCTCCCCTAACCTCACAGGCAACATGTTCCACTGATGAGAAAACCGGCAAAGACAGGTTAGGCAGAAGAAAAGAGAGATGAGACAACGGACTGTGCCAACAAACTAAAATTTTACCTGCTGCTATGGATAAAATAGCTTTCTTTTTAGAAATACTCATGTTAATAAACTCCTACATGCGACATAATATGTGCCTAGAGGTCTGGATAAGTAAGATGTGTGTGTGTGTGTGTGTGTGTGTATATATATATATATATATATATATATATATATATATATATATACACACACACACAATTTCATTTGCAATAGGAAGTCTTCACACTGCAAAGGTCTAGGTAGATTCCTAGTTAAATGGCATTTCAAATTAAGGCATCTACCCCTGTCAAAGGAGAACTCCAAATGGTAACTGGCTCCCACAACTTCGAAGTGCTGCTGAGACCCTCATCAGCTTTTATCTTTGCGCCCCGTCATTCTCCCATGGGCAAAGAATTGCACAAAAATCTTGGAGTAAACACAAACAAGTGCCAAAATGAAGACCATCAATGATCCAAATCCTTGCAAGGTATAAAAGAGAATTTTTTTCTGAGTCCCGAAGTCAAGATTGTTATAGGCTGCAGGATTTTTATGTGAGAATGGAATTGTAAGATTAATCTTTGGCCAAGAGCACTTCTCTGTTTCTTGCAAAGGATTAGCTGACTTAAACTAGAGGCTCTGCGTCCTGCTCCTGGAGCTGCAGTCAGCTGTTTTTCCTTTGTGGAGCTTCCTGATATGCCCAAACACCTTTCTTCTTAACCTTTGTAGTTATTTCAGTATTTACTTCATTCTAAATCCTTATGCAGACTTTTTTTTTGCTTTCCAAGGCAAACCTTGTAGATAGCCAATCTGTACTGTTTCCACCAAATTAATGTGAGAGCTTGTTTTAGCAACTGCAAAACAAAAGTGATACACGGCTTCAATAAGACATATTATCTTCAGAACCTGTAAAAGTTGAGACTATCTCTAGACAAAGCGCAAGCACAGGATAGTCCTACCACTGCAGTCAAAATACCACAGAAGCTACATGCCACAGCAGGATGCCTGTCGGATAGACAATTAAAGTGGCCCAGGAATGACATATCCCCTCTTGCCAACATAATTAAGGTGTATTATTTGTCAGGGAGGTCAACGGTGAACAAATGTCCTAGCAAACTGAGAATGAAAGACAGGGAAGGAGCAGATAATGAAATTCAGGGATGACAAATGGCTCGGAGCCTGACACCGTGGCATCTGACAAAGAGAGACATCCAATGGCTCTGAAACTTTTCCTGGTGCTCTGGAAGGCTCTTGGATTTGGGGCATTTTTACATAAAGGATGTTGCATGTATCATTAATGTCATTCCATTTCCTTATAGAAAAGTATTAATATTGACAACTGTAGAAGAATGATATTGTCAAGGCAGAATTCAATATGCGGTATGGTTTTTGTCATGTGTACTCACTCTGCTGCTCCTTTGTGTCCTATCTACACTTGTTTTACAGCCACCTAGAGTAACCAGCCTATCTCCACTTTTCCCATTACTTGTTAATAGCTATTGTGCAGATAAAAATGCCTCAGAGTGACCTATAGGGACACCTCTGCCTTTGGCCAAGCACCCCCACAAGTGAGGGTACGAATACTTCCCAAGCTAAGCCAAGATTGAGTTATGTTCAGACAATAAGTATCACCAATTACTACCCTTCAGTTGTTCCCAGATACCAAAGGCTTAACCACCCACGGGAATAGCGACTGGTGCCTGCCACTTCCCTAAGGTTGTGTGTATTGTGCTAGGATATTTGATAGACTTGAGTATTATGGCTTAAAAAAACTATACAGGAGAAGGGATGCCAATTCCTAGGCTAAACCAGCTTCCTTTGTGAACAAATATCTGGGGGTGTTCCTCTGTGATAAAAACCATTTACGTCATTTTAGGCCCATTTTTAACCATACTGGGTCATTTTACAATTCAGAGAGCACAGATTAACCATACAGAGCCAGCAGTTATTGATGTGGAACACAGTAGGACTCCACAATCTTGTAATGCTACAATGATGTAGTCACTAATTTGTTTCTGCATCTAGCATTATTTATTCACCAAAATATTTGTTGATCACCTATTATGTACCAGGCATAGAACTGAATGGGAGGGCCACAGTAGTGATTCAGACAAACATAATCCCTGTCTTTACTAATACTGTAGCCAGAAAGACAGACATTAGCCAACATCTACCAAGATAACTAATTAGTCATAAATGTGATAAGTAGCAGGAGGAATGCTGGAAAAGCTTTTGACCAGCAAATCTAACATACGCTAGGGTCTCAGGCAGGAAGTGACACTTAAGGTGAGATATAAAGCAAGTAGGAATTCACATAGATAGGGATGTGAGTGTGTGTGTGTGTGTGTGTGTGCAAGAGACAGAGATGAGCAGCAACAAGAAGGAAAGGGAGGCGTCTAGGAACAGTATCTCAAGCAGAGGTAACAAAGACCCTAAGAAAGGAGAAAGTTTGGGTTGGTGGAGGAAAGAATGAAGCCCAGTGTGGCTGGAGCATAGACAGTGGAGGAGACGGTCACAAGGGTGAGGCTGGAAAGACAGGCAGGGCCAGACCATGCAAGGCTTTGAAGGCTCTTCTAAAGATTACGGCCTTCACATGCCTCTGCAATTAGAGAAAGCACTGGAAGTAAAGCCAAGCAGATATCAGCCAATGTGTCTGAGCAGTAAAGATATGGAGGTGAATGAAACGTCTCATTTTCAGATTTTCTCTTACCTAAAAAAAAAAAAAAAAAAAAAAAAATTTGCCTGATTCTCAGGCACAAATTTAGAAAGCAGACACATTTGGTGATATAACCACTAAAACTCATGCCTAATGTCTTCTAAATTTTATGGCCTTTTCCTTATAGGGACCTGAAAAGCTCTTGACAAGGCAGGAACGTGACTAATATAATTGAGCACATACTCTGTCCCAGGCACTGTGCCAGGCACCTTTAAAATCTCTTATTTTAATACTCACAAAAATGTTAAGACAAATTCCCCATTTTTTAACTGAAACAAATACAGAGTAAGTAAATTGTCCAATATCAGAAAACTACCAAGAGGCCTGAATGCTAATCCATCTGACTCCAGATTCGATGTACTTTCCACAGTGAAGACAATGGACTTTTTTCTACATTGATTCGCCTTTTGGTCAAAGTGGAGTCATCACTATTGGTATAAAAAAAGTATGATGATGGTTTTCTGTAGGTTGCCAAAGACTAACATATTGACATGTGAAGAATTCAAATATAATTGTGTTTTTTCAAGCAAGCTAGTGCTGTCTTCTTTTTATTTAATTGAAAGAGCTTCTTTATCACATATACTGTCCCATGAATACCTTCCATCCTAATCTCCACCTCAAAGCATTGGGCTCTACCTGCTAGCTTGCCTTCAACACTGCAATCTGAGTTCTTCAAGTACTACTGGAGTACTTCCCAGAAGTAGGAACAAAAGGATTTACAAGGTGTATACAGGTGGCTCGCTGGCCCTACACTGCTCTTCCTCCTTCTCATCTGCTCTCAGTCCACTGCTCCCCCAACCCCTTCCCCTGTGGCTGCCATTCCTCTCCTTCTCTTTCCCACTTTTTTTCTCATCTCTTTAGTCACTTTGCCCGTACCATTTATAATACCTCTTTACGTAAATAAGTTGGCCTTTTATATCACCAGCCATTTTTCCTTCCACTAGTCAAAGTATAGGATCCTTTAGTGTTCTCTGCTGTGTTTGTCCAAGCTGGTTGGTTGATGATAGGGCGACCTGGTAACCAATGAGGTGGGTGGTTTTTGTTCTTCAAAAAGGAGATGAAGGGAGATAAGCTGTTTCTGAGCCACATCCTAGAAGCCTGTGCTTTTCAGGAGGCTCCTCTCTGAAGATTAAGGGGCATATTTGTGGATGTGTGTTTTTTGCTGCTACTGTCTGCAGAGTGTCAAGGATCAACACATTAAAAGATGCCATTTTTCCTGGTGTTTCTGAGTTCTTGGGGCGGGGGGGCTTGTTTGTTATTTGTTGTTGTTTTGTTGAGTTTTGTTTTTGCTATCCTCATTAACAATACATGGCACAAAATCTTAAAACACGTTTCTGTACTTCACAAGTCAACAAAAAGAGAGTGTACATTTCTGTTTTAACCAGAAAAAGAATTAAACTTTATAAAAATAAATAACACCTGCCCCCCCAAAAAAGCAAATCATCACCCCAGGATGACAGAAAACATCGGTTAAAAAAACAAGTTAAGAAGTTTTTAAGCTGAACACAAATCTACTAATGTGTTAATCGGTCATGGACATTAGCCAATTCATGACTTTTAGCTGTATATCTTGGCATGTTAGGTTATGCTGGGTATTAAAAACAATTCTGAGACAATGTTGGGATTGGCAATTTTAAAAAAGCCTCAGCACTTTGGGAGGACGAGGCGGGTGGATCAATTGAGGTCAGGAATTCAAGACCAGCCTGGCCAACATGGTGAAATTCAGTCTCTACTAAAAATACAAAAATTAGCTGGACATTTTGGTACATGTCTATAGTCCCATCTACTTGGGAGCCCGAGGCAGGAGAATCGCTTGAACCTGGGAGGCAGGGGGTGCAGTAAGCCAAGATGGTGCCACTGCACTCCAGCCTGGGTGACAGAGCAAGACTCTATCTCAAATAAATAAATAAATACTTAAAAATAAAAAAAAAACTAAAAACTTTTCACAGTGTCTAGAATATAATTTGTCTATTCCACAAATAAATATATATTATTCCAGTGACAAATCTGTGTGTGTGTGTGTGTGTGTGTCCTCAACACACTTCACTAGCTTGTTGGACATTTCCCTAGACACAACAACCTCTGGTTTCTGTTAAGTAAAAAGAGAATGAACATTACTGCAATGACTGCTCCATGGTGAGGTGTTAGCTTTTCATCTACATGTATATGGAGCAAAAAGGTTTCATTCTTAATTACAAGTCATCATTTTAATACCATATCTCAAAGATCTGCCCCAACTGGAATTCCCACTGGGCACTGATAGTTTTCATTTGTTTCTTCTTTTTGTTATTGTTTGGTGGTGGGAAGAGAAATGTAAAGTACAACTCTTGAGATCATGTTCTGAATCAGGAATTTATAGACTGGAGGGAATATGCTATCTCTCTCCTTAAAAATTCAACTCTAACACTTCATGCATAGATATCAAGTACTTCATTACATTTCCAGTCACTGTGAAATAACAGTTTCTTTTACCTCCACCACGATCTTATTAGAGAAAAAAAAAGCAACTAAAAAAAAGGGGTCTAAATCTCACAGTCTGTACTTCCCTTACAGGCTGCTTACAAAGTTCTCATGATGAAACTAAGACACACTGGGGCGTGTACTCGCCTGTGTCATTCACCATGGGGAGGAGCACTGCAGAGCTCTGTTACAGGGGAGCTTAACCCACGTTCTTTTTTTTTTTTTTTTTTTTTGAGACGGAGTCTCGCTCTGTGGCCCAGGCTGGAATGCAGCGGTGCAATCCGGGCTCACTGTAAGCTCCACCTTCCGGGTTCAAGCCATTCTCCTGCCTCAGCCTCCCGAGTAGCTGGGACCTGTACAGGCGCCCGCCACCACGCCCGGCTAATTTTTTGTATATTTAGTAGAGACGGGGTGTCACCGTGTTAGCCAGAATGGTCTCGATCTCCTGACCTCGTGATCCGCCCGCCTCGGCCTCCCAAAGTGCTGGGATTACGGGCGTGAGCCACCGCGCCCGGCAACCCACCTTCTAACAAGATGAAGTCATGCATCGAGAAGTCAGTGCTCATTGTCTCCTTGGCAGTTCATCTTACTAAAAACCATCAGCTGGACTGAAGAAAGGAACTCATATTAACCTACTCTGAGCAGACTCTTGATTTTTTATTTCTGGTGAATAACACTGTGATATGTTACATGTTTTAGCTCTCAATGACCGAAACATTTAAAATTGATAGGCCTTTTAAATCTATGGCCACGAAGCAGGGACTTGCCAATATTTCTAATGGAAGTCTCCAAAAGTACATAACAATACATATATTGACTTCTTGTTTCAAGGAGTATCAAGATTAATTGTTCCTGTAAAGGTAAATAAATATTGACAGAGGTTTCACTTTGGTCCATATTTTCCACTTGGGTCAATAAATCTTGGTATTCACCTCAACTCGAATCAGTATCAGGTGATTATTAATTCATGGTATACTCGACTAGCAGCCAAAACTACAACTTAACATATAGAACACAGTCCTGCAGACCAATTTATGTTTAAATAAATACATGGAGTGAAAAACCATTGTTTTATTTTTATTTTTATTTTTTTTTTTTTTTTGCCCAGAAACCCGCATTTTATTGACAGTCATTTTCCCACAGAGAATCTTAGAAAGATGTCGCATTTTCTTTTAATGAATGAGAGAAGCCCACTTGTATCCCTGAATCATTGAGAAAAGCAACAGATACAACTGACAGTCACACTTTTTAAAATCAAACAGTCACTACCTTCAGCCCACACCTCCACACCCGCATCTGCCTCCCCAATGGCTGTCAGTTCGGTAAAGTCACCCTCTCCTTCTACTCTGGTATTACCACGAGAATTGAAATTTTTAAGCAGAAAAAAAAAGAAGTCAAGTTACAAATAAATGAGTGGCGAACCAAGGGAAGCCCTTTGACTATGATTTCCAATTTTCTGTTCAATCCACACTGCAGAGATACAAGGATAAACCACCATTTTGGTTCCCAAGTTTTATTCAAGAACTCATACAAAATTTTCCAGATAAATGAAATTTAATCCTCGTCTTCCTCCTCTTCTTCGTCCTGGTTAATCTGGAAGTAACGTAATTCGTAACTCTCTTTGCTGTTAGCAACTACGCGCAACCAGTCACGTAGATTATTCTTCTTCAAATATTTTTTGGTGAGATATTTCAAATACCTTTTGGAGAAAGGCACCTCGGATGTCACGGTGATCTTGCTCTTGCTCCTTTCGATGGTCACCACCCCTCCACCAAGGTTCCCAGCTTTTCCGTTCACTTTGATCCTTTCTTGCAAAAACTGCTCAAAATTGGCAGCATCCATGATTCTACAGGGTGGGTGCAATCAAGAGTGAACTTCAGAACTTGCTTCTTTTTTTTGCCCCCAAAACCATTGTTTTATATAACTAATGGAAAGTACAACCTATAGCTACCAGGCATTTAAAATAATCTATTGTTATTCTGTTATATTTCAATTTCTCTAGTAAACAAAAAGTGATTCTTTTTATCTCACAATTCAACATTTTGCTTTGCCCAATCCCATTACTGCTTGCACTTATTGATGAGCTTTGTAAATATGTGAATGTTTATAACAGAAAGAAAGGATGAAGAACAAAGGAAGGAGAAATTTTAAAAAGAAACAAAAGAGAAAAAAGAAAGAAAGAGGAGATAAAGAAGAGGGCTAAAGAAAATATTGGTTAGAAGAATTGAGAGACATAAAAAATATGGAAGGTAAAAGGTAACAAACTTAGGGAGAAAAAAATTTAAATATCACAGCTGATTAGTGTGTACTTCCATAAATTTCAGCAAAAGATATTTATTTCTTTCCAATATTCTTTTCCATTTAAAAAGATGCTCTGCCCAATTCTAATGACTTAAACATCATAAATATTCTAGTTTTCCATTCAAGATTTAAAATGCAATTAGCTATTAACTTATATAAACACCTCAAAGAAATTTTAAAGAAAATTTATTTTACACAGTAAATTTAGGAGCAGTTGATTAAAGTTTTCAGGGATTGAGACATCTCAGCTAATAATGGAAATAATAATTAAATATTAACAACAGATGGATGTTTCACATGAAATTATGGCACTTTTATTTCCTATGAAGGCACACTAACATTGGAAGGCAGACTCCTTAAGAGAAATTGCTCATCAACACTACAAATTGACAAGCATATCAAAAGAGTTATTGATCTCTATAGCATACCAGCTCAGATATATCAGTAGTAAAGCAAGCACCGAGACTGATTACATTAGCTAGTTGATATTACTTAGGGAGAGCTTTGCCTATTAACGGGGCTTCAAGTGCACCTTTCCCGAAGTACTGCATTTCTGATCTTTACTCTTGCTTATTTATTTATTTATTTATTTATTGAGATGGAGTTTCACTCTTTCACCCAAGCTGGAGTGAAGTGGTATGATATCGGCTCACTGCAACCTCCACCCCCTGGGTTCAAGAAATTCTCCTGCCTCAGTCTCCTGAGTAGCTGGGATTACAGGCATGCACCACCACGTCTGGCTAAGTTTTGTATTTAGAGTAGAGACGGGGTTTCGCTATGTTGGCCAGGATAGTCTCAAACTCCTGACCTCAGGTGATCTAACCGCCTCGGCCTCCCAAAGTGCTAGGATTACAGGGATGAACCACTGCACCCAGCCGCTCTTGCTCTTTTAAATCAAAATAAGGTTAAAAACAAAATTTTATTTTAGCCAGAATATTCTCGTTAGTGTTATATTAACCAATCACTTTGTAGTCAACAAAATAGTTTAAATGCAAATTTACCTTAGAGATAATTTATTTTCTAAGAATTGTGAGACATTCATTAACTTAAATTTACCAACTAAAAAGAGAGGGTTACAATAAAATATCTCTAGAAAGCTAAGACACTTTATCAAATTACTAGAAGTTTGGAGGTGAGAGGAAACTTGAAGATCATCTCATCCAACATTTTCACTTTAAAAAGAGGGAAATCAAAGCAAGAGAGAAGACACTCAGCTACTTAGTAGCAAAGGCAAATGAGTATGCAGATCTTTTTATTTTACTAAAAAGGCTGCGTGCTCAGATACACTCCCTTTACTTTTCACCTTCAAAAAGGCAATTTGGCAACGAAATATGCGATTTTGCATTTAGCTAATAAATCCACCAATAGAGATAACTTTGAAATGTACAATTCTTCCTCTAAATATATATATGTATATATATGTGTGTGTGTGTATATACCATATGTATAGTATATATGTATATATATGTATATATAGTATATATAGTATATATGTATGTATATATAGTATATATAGTATATATGTATGTATATATGTACATATATACTATATATACATATATATATAGTATATATATGTATATATATACTATATATATATGTATATATAGTATATATATATATGTATATATATATACACTATCCCAGAGACATCACCAAGTTTGATGTGGTTTTAGGTGTGGAAATATGAAGAGCCCACTAATATAAAATGATAAACTCTCTTTTTGTGTTTTTAATTATTCTTTAAAAGCAAATCAACAAACAATAACAAAACAAAATTATATTCAACCCAAGCATGAAAGCACTTCTCCACAATGCCTAAGTTGAGTCTTTAATAATAGTAGAAGTTTACTAAGTAAAGGAGGATAGCTAATAATGAAGCAGCACATGTAATGGCATTGAAACAAGAGTGCTCATTATACATTCCAGGAATGTTAAAAAATTTTCAACTTAAGCATCAAGTGTTTATGAGAGAAGAATTTTGAGGCCAGAAACCAAACAGCAAGGCTCAGATCTTTCCAAGTATTTGGAGCTTGTTCTGTATCTTCATGGTAAACCATGAAGAATTAATATGATCAGAATCTCCTTTGAGAAAGATAATTTTGGTATCGGTACTGAGGGAATGAAGAAGAAAATGATACTTGATGCACAAAGATCTATTGAAAATATATTTTGATTACCCAGAAGGGGAAGAACACCTGGATAATTAATCAATCTGAGTTAAAAAAAGAAAAAAGGCTATCTCCTGGGATTTAGGATTGGAATAGAGAATGAGGAATATGCTCATCAAATATAAACTCAGTCTGAAACCCCCAGAAACAAATGTGAAACTACTCCAAAGCAACGTATTCTAAATGTAGGCTCTACAAGATTTTCTCAGATAAAGCCTTGTGAAAATGAGCACACAGCCCCAAATTACAAAACATTCAAGCAAATACTCTTTTAGGAGAGAAAGCAAGCAGACAAAAGGAACTTCAGGTTTAGACATAACCTGGTTGACCTGTAGAATAATCTTCTAGAGACCACAAAATGTTTCCTTAATAATTAATTAATTTTTAAATCATCAAGTTCTATTTAGATTTTTTTTAATTTGTCATTAGAGAAATGATATCTCATGTCTTTCTTTTGGTTTTAATTTTTATTTCACATTTTTAATTGTATAGTCCAAAAACTAATTGAAAAAAAAGAGTAAAATAAAGATATTTTCAGACAGACAAAGGTGAAGAGAAGTTACTACTCACAAAACATTACTAAAATTAATCTAAAGAATATACTTCAAGAAGAATAATATTGAACCCGGAAGGAAGGAGTAGGATACAAGAAACAATGGTGAGAAAATAAATTGGTAAATAATGTGTATAAATCTAAATAATCATTAATTGCATTAATAACATGACTCCTTTGGAAGTTGTAAGTACAAGGTGAAACGAAAACACTTGGCAGCAATTAGCATGTAAACTGGGGGCAGGGGAGGGGGACAATCTGAATTAATGTGATCTACAGTGTTTCCATATTTCAGAAAGAGGGTAGATATTACTTAATGTGAGGCTTGTTAATTATGCACATTAAATATCTATTTGTGCTTATTTAAGAAAACACAAATAGAATGTAGGAGAGGGAAAAATAAAAAATAAATAAAATTTGGTGAATCTTACAGGAAGCAGGAAAGGAGAAAGAAAAACAAGTAGAAGAAAAAGAAACAGAAAGCAGGGCAAATACAAAACAGAAAATAAGAAGAAAGAAATAAATCCAAACAGATCTCTAATCACAATAGATATACATAGCCTAGAAGAGAAAGAAGGACAAATTTATTTAAGAAACAAAATCCAGCTATGTGTTATTTGGAAGAGATATATGCAAAAAAGGGAGGGGGCGGGAGGGTCGGGGTGGGGGGACTCAGTTTGGAAGTAAGTGGATGAAAAAAATACATACCAAAAAATAGAAAGCTAGAGTGGTTACATTAATATGAAACAAAGTATACTTCAATGAAAAAATCATTATTCCCTAATTATTACAAAATGACAAAAGGAAAACTTTACCAGGGAGATACAGTGTTTGGAATTTATAGGCATAAATAAATTGGAATTTATTTATTCCAATAGGCTTACTGGAATTTATAGTTTAACTTCCAAAAGCATGAAGCAAAAATTGACAGCATTACAAGAAATAAATGGACAAATTCACAATTATAATGGCAAATTTCAACACGCCTCTCTCTGTAATTAATAAAGACCCAAAGTTAGTAGAAACACATAAAATTTGAACAGCATAATTAACAAGTTTGATCAAACATATATAGAAGTCTGTATACAAAAACTATTTTTCCAGGCCAGGCACGGTAGTTCACACCTATAATCGTAGCACTTTGGGAGGCCAAGATGGGTGGATCACTTGAGACCAGGAGTTCAAGACCATCCTGGCCAACATGGTAAAACCCTGTCTCTACTAAAAATACAAAAAAAAAAAAAAAAAAAAAAAATTAGCCAGGTGTGGTGGCACACACCTGTAATCCCAGTTACTCAGGAGGCTGAGGCAGGAGAATCACTTGAACCTGAGAAGCAAAGGTTGCTGTGAACCGAGATTGCACCACTGCACTGCAGCCTGGGCGACAGAGCTAGACTCTATCTCAGAAAATAAAAAAGTAATAAAAGTAATAAAAACACTATTTTTCCAGTTTATGTGAAGCATTTATAAAAATTTGCCATATTTAACCACAAAGAAAGCACAGTACAATAAAAATGAATAACAAAACTATAACACAACTCATGTTTAGAAATTTTAAAGAATATTAAATAATATATGGGCCAAAAGAGAAATCATGACAGAAATTATAAAATAATTTAAACTAAATAATATTGACAACATTATATATCAAAACTTGTGAAAAGCAGCTAAACCAATATTAGAGAAAATGTATAGACTTAAATGTTTATACTAGGAATGAAATGGAGTAAAAACCAATGAATGAGTCCAATTCAAAAATTTAGAAAAGGATGAACAGAATTAAAAAAAACAAAAGTTTTTAAAAGAAAAGTAAAATACCTTTTAAACTAATAAAACAGATGAAATTTTGGCATCTGAATTAATTTTTTAAAAGGAAGCATAAATGAAAACATTAGTAATTTAAAGGGGGAATACAGATACACAAGAGATTTTTAAATGCTAGATAGACTACTATGAACAACTTTTAAGTCAATAAATTTGAAAACCCAGACAAAAGAATAACTTCCTAGAAAAATAAAACTTACTGAAATTGACGCATAAATAAAGAGCAAATCTGAATGTAACCATTTAAAAAGTTGAATATGTAGCTGATCTCCAAAATACATTAACCTAGTATTAAAGAAGGGGTTTTAACAGATTTTCAAGTAACCAGTAATCCCATCCTAAAGAAATTGTTCTAGAGAACATATAGAGAAAGTGACAAGTCAAATCAATCTAAATAAAAATAGAACAGGTTTTGTATGTGTGTGAAACTTGACAAGCTGACTGTAAATTTTATATGGAAGAATAAATGACTGAAACAATCTTGAGGAAGAGAAAGAGATTTGGCTTACAGATATCAAGATATCCTTAAAAAGATGTGACAATTTTAAAAAAGTGTTTGTGGCATCAGGATAAAGAAATGGACCAAATGATCAGGACAGGGACCCAAGGAACAAACCTGCACATTTGTGGGAACTTGGTATATGATGGAGAAGGCATTATTAATAAATCAGTGGGGAAAAGAATAATTCTTCAATAAATAGAGCCAGAACACTTGGTTAGGCGTAGAAAAAAGGATAAAACTAGATCCTTACCTCGTATGCAAACAAAAATTAAATTTCAAATAAATACCTAAATATGTAAAGCAAAATAGAAATTTTTAAAAGAGAAAATAGCTTTATAATATCAGTCAAAAACAATTTCTAAAACAAGATGCCACTATGCATAAAAGCACAAACATATAAAGTATAAAACGGGATATTCATAGATTTGACTACTTCAAAAATAGAAATTCCTGTTAAGCAAAGTTCGCCATTAACAAAGTGAAAGACAAGCCACAGACTGAGAGATGACCTTGCAATGTATGTAAGCAACAAAGCATTAGTGTCATGTAAAACTGAAAAAAGAAAGCCTGTAAAGAATATGATACAAAATCCACAGAAATGAAACCTGAATGGCCAATAAACATGAAAATATGATCAACTTTATTAGTAAAGAGAGAAAGTCAAATGAGACTTTGCATGCGCTTTAGAGTTTCAAAAATTAATAAATCTGATAATACTAATCATTGTATGAGAGGACAGGATGAAGAGAGATCTAGCAAAAATAGAAATTGAATCACTCTTATTAGGAGTGTAAAGTGTACAATCAACACGAGCTGTTATTAGGTGGCAAAGTTAAAAATGCACATAGCCACAACCCAGCAATTTCAATTCAAGGTATCGATCTTGAAAAATTCTCACACAGGTGCACAAACAAACCCAAACGAGATGCTAGATACAGCCCTGTTTGTGATAACAGAAAAGCAGAAACAACTCAACTATTTTTCTAAGTAGAGGAACAAATTAATAAACTGTGGTGTATTCATAGAATAGAATATCATATGACAGTTAAAGTGAATAAATCTGTTGAATCTTTATCATCATGGATTAATCTCAAATACAAGATGTTGAGTAAAAAAAAGCAAGTTGAAGAATGATATGTACAGTATAGTACCACTTATGTACATTTTAAAACATGCCAAAAGAGAATCTGTAGCTTGTGATGGAACATATACAGTTAAAGTTCAAAAATGAACATCGAAATACTTTACACCAACTTTAGGATATAGGAGAAGAGTAACAGAAAGGAGGGGTGGGCCTTTATCTGTAATATTTTCTTTCTTTTGCAAAAGAGAGTTTGTTAGTAGATATGCAAAATGTTAATATTTGAGTATATAGGTATTTTTATGTTCTTTTTCATGTATTTGAAGCATTTCATAATATAAAAAAAATGTTTTTTTGTAGTGACAGGGTCTCCTTATGTTGCCCAGGATGGTCTGTAATTCTTGGGCTCAAGCAATCCTCTCTCCTTAACCTCCAGAGTAACCAAGACTATAGGCACATACCACTATCCCCAGTTAACATTTTAATTTTTTGTGGAGACGGGTCTCCTTACGTTGCCCAAACCAGTCTTAAACCCCTGGGCTCAAGCAATCCTCCACTTTAGCTTCCCAAAGTGCTGGGATTTCAGGTATGAGTCAATATGCCCAGTCTGAAACATTTCATAATTAAAAATCAAATGAATTATTGAGTATATAACATGAAAAAGGAGAATAGATATTGCCACTTAGAAATCCTGGAATCAGGTCTAAAGTCACTCCAGAGACGATTGCTGACCAAAGTAGATCCACCCAGGGCAAATGTCCTAACCAAAAGGCCTGGAGTTTCCTCCAGGTCTCATGAGTATGGACTACAGATGATACTAGAAAAGGCTCTAGGTTGGTGATTTGCAGACCAAGACTTTTAAGTATCAGTAATTAAAATAAATAAATTTTATATACATACAGACACTAACATTATTTCACAAAAGAAAAGGCACTATAAAACAGAAAAATAAGAATAATAATCTCACAATAATCAAACATCTTTGAAATGAAGACTTCAATTTATCTTCATGAATAACTACATTTTTCTCATTTTGTCTCAGAACAATGAAAACTTCCTAATAGACTAAGAGGAAACCATATCCCAATGTTTGGGACCTCTTGTTTCAGAAACACAGTCAGCATTGTTACCAACCAGAGCCACGTACCAACAAAACTAGCTCTGTAAGACATTTGTACCAACCTCAAGTGGATTTTAGAAACTACATGATAAATTTTCACTTTCTTCATCAATCCTTCTAGTTTCGTGTTTCAATCAGAAACATGGGATCTCCAAGACTAAATGTACAAAATGCTATGAATCACATCACATTCATCTATTGCCAATTATAAAAGTTGTTTCTTTTCCTGGTTCAAGAAGTGATATAATTTCATCTATTTTTGCTATATTTTGCCTTGTTTGTTTAACTCAATAAAACAGGCACAGACCATATTTAAATATCAAAGAAAACACTTTTATCTGGGACTAGAATTCTTAAAGATAAGTGCTTTTTAAGCTTCCCAAGTTTGGTACATTAGTATTGTCTTCAATTCTGCTCAGCACAAACACACATTCAGTTTCATGGGGTCAGTGGCATGACCCTACTGACTTTGAAGAAGAGTTTTAAAGGAAGAGAAGATGCACAGTGTTGAAAATAGATATGAGGCTATTTAGATATTATAGCAAGTAGGAGAGAAAGTTCGTGGGGTAAGAAAGAATTAGCTTTCAATGAAAAGCAAAATACGACCTAGTTGACCAACTCAATGAAACAGCAGTCAAGTCCATTGTATGAGAGCAAAACTTGTTGAATAAATGGATCACTTTTCCATTCATTCCTTTGCTCAATTCCAAAGCCATTATTATAGGTTTGGCCAACCTCAGGACTTGTCATCCACTGAAGATTATTCTGGAATTTTTATCCTGAATCATATATAACAATCCCTGCCTTCAATGTATAATATTTTCAACCTAAGTAGGAAATAAAAAATAACTACTTGTGTTAAGCGCAGTCACAAAATAATATTAAAGATCAAGTTAAATACAGTTATTTACCATACACGTGTTTAATACTATTATTATATAACCCTACCTATAATACTGTTATTAAAGAAATAGTAATAAATGGAGTAACCAGTAAAATTAACTCATATTAGGCCCGGCATGGTGTCTCACGCCTCTAATCCCAGCACTTTGGGAGGCCGAGGCGGGCAGATCACTTGAGGTCAGGAGTTCAAGACCAGCCTGGCCAACATGGCTAAACCCCCTCTACTAAAAATACAAAAATTAGCCAGGCGTGGTGGTGAGCACCTGTTGTCCCAGCTACTCAGGAGGCTGAGGCAGGAGAATTGCTTGAATTCAGGAGGCGGAGGTTGCAATGAGCCGAGATCACACCACGGCACTCCAGCCTCGAAGACAGAGAGAGACTCCATTTTAAAAAATAGTAATGATAATAACTCATGTTTAGAAACATAATCGTACCTACCTGTCTTTTCTTATTTAAATAGAATAGAAAGCTATAGTCAGAACAATGAACAATCTTCTTGTTCAAGCGCTGAAACTTTAGCTAATATGTCTTTTAGTCACTGTATTCTATCATTTTTCTTGAGCCTCCAGCCATACCATACAACTCCATTTATTCGTTCAAAAAGATACTTGAACATTTGCTGGGTACCAAGCACTGGGGCTCAAGAACAGAACTCACCGTTAATATGGTTTATTTGCAAATATGGTTTATTTGATCAAGTAGCATGTCTCATAAAACTTGATTCTAAATACCTGTGCAACACTGTCATTTTATATTCCTCATCTTCAAAAGGAATAATGAAGCTTTAATCTCTTGCAAAACCTGTATGGTTCTTCTCCCTTCTCAGATAGCACCACGAGCTCCCACCAGTAACAAAACCACATTGCTGCCTCCTTCACTTTGCAGTTCCCTTAGAATCTAACGAGGAACACCACACTCTGCTTTGAACACTGTCTTACATACATATATATGTATGTATGTAAGACATACAGACATATGTATTTTTATATATACACATATGTATACATATATATATATATTTCACACATACACTGGGTGTATATTTATATACTGGGTAACTGAAGTTCCTCAGATGGGAAATGATTTAATCTGTAGCAACGTCTGACTCTGCATATAATGCTGTGTGAAACAGAAACAGCCCTGACACTTTATGAATAGGGAAATGAGAGAGCCTATTGAAGAAAGCTTGACAGCAAGAATGAAAGAATGAAGATTCAACTTAAGCTGTTGAAAGCCTAACAAGATAAAGGGCAGGAGAGTCTCCTTAAATGTGATGAAATAAGGCCTGAAGGGAAGGAACCATAGAGAGATTGACGAGTACACACTTTGAAACAGAAGATGAGTGTGTTCAACCTGACAGTAACGTGGTTAAATTAATCAAAGTACCAATAACCTTAAACGGTAGGAAAGAATACAGATTTATGCAGCAATCATCTTTGATGGTTGGTGTGAAATTTGAGCTAGATCAAAGAGGTAGAGCTTTTGAGGGAAAATAATTGTTATGATTATACAGCCTTCTCATAACATGTAAACATTACACTGACCATTTCACCGTCTTCTCTGCTTGCCTTGTGTTTTATTTCCTCCACCTTAATATTTTAAAACAGGGGACAATCTCAGTTTTTATTACCCAAAGGAAACACCTAATTTTAAGTGATGTTGCTCTTGTGATTTTTACTGATAAATTTTTGAGAGGGAATATTTTCAGAGAGTAAACTTATTGGTAAAACTAACAAGTTGACAGTTCACACTGCCCAGTTCTTCCTCTCTGGCTCCCAAGGGCGTAAGGCAGCCCAAATACCAAGCCCGCTCTTTGCCTTACTCTTGATTCATGTTGCTATGCTTTGCAAAACTGCTACCCAAGAAGTCAGATGCCACAAGTTCTAACTGTTGAGAATACAATTAAAGCAAGGAAAAGTTAAAAAGATCAAACTATTCTCAAGGTGTAAGCATTGAAATACATTAGCTATAAGCTAACTAAAATGGCCAACTAATCAAAACACCCCATTGAATACACTCATCACCAAAGTTTTATTATACACCACTAAGATCTTCCTGCTTTCACCTATCTGTATTAACTAATCGAGAGCACAATCTTTTAAAGCACTTATTCTTCAAGGGAAGGTAGAGGACAGTGAGGGACCCTGGAGCATCTGTATTTTGTAAAAGCTCCCAGTGTGGTGATTCTGATTCATCTTTCTACTCCAAACTTCCAACTGAGAGTCACTGCCTTCATGAGAAGAAATCTTTTAGTTATCTATTAAACTGTTTCAGCCATGGTGCCATTCACCTTCATCCTTATCATTAAAAATCAATAATGATGATCCAAGGAATGGAAGAGAGTCAATAAATGACACTAGTGAGGATGGAGAGGAGAATCGTGTTTGAAATTCACATCTAGCTTAAATCTTCCCTGTTGTAGGCTAGATCCTTTTCTCCTTCTTGGAAGACATTTGGTCACCATGCTTCTCTTAATAGTCCTTCATACAGTTGAGGACAGTTATTAAGTCACCTCTAAACCTTCTCAATACCGGTAATCCTGATTCCATTCATCTTTTTTCATCAGTGCTATTTTCCAACCCGTTAATCATTTTCATTGCTCTCCCCTGGACCCTATCCAAGTTCTCCACGTATCTTTAACCTTCTGTGAATTATGTGACCGGTTTATAGCTTTGATAAGCCTGGGTAGTGAAAAAGGTAGAATCTCATCACAACAGACTATAATTGTATGTGGGGGAGGACAGGGATGGAGCAGCAGATGGTTCAATTGTACAGAAAGTTTCACCACAAATATGATATTAATTTAAGTTTTTATTCTTTGATAATTATTTCTAAACACACCATATTATAATATTCTGAGCTACAATTAGAGTCTGTATTTTACACACCTGTCTTTTTAGTGTGAACCTGTGTCTGGCCTGGTTCTTTTGCATAATAGAAGAGACTATATTTTTCGAAAGAATGCTTGTTTCTTAGTTGAAACAACTTTTAATTACAAAGAAGTACTATTCATAACACCTCTAAGAAATGGAGAGACTAGCATATTTTCATATTCCAATACTCATTCTTTCCATGGCTTTTCCAAATGAGGCTAAATGGCCCAAACCTGAATATACTGGTAATTTGGACACTGGCCTCACTATCAAAACTATGAACCAGTCACTCACAAAAGCTCTTCAGTTTCAAAGCCATTAGTCACATTGTACTTACAGAAGGCAGCATGGCACAGTGATGTTAATTGATGGCTGGCCGCTTACTAGCTGAAAACTTTCAGCAGGTTGGGGTTGTCCTTTCCTCTTCTTTTAGAATAGATAATAATAGAGCTGTGTCATAAGACTGATGTGAGGATCTCATGAGCTATACCTGTAAAGTCTTCAAAACAGTGCCTGACACATAGTAAGCATAACGACCCTACCAGTAAAAGGGTCGACTCCAACTAGAAGTCACAAATATGGAGAACAAATGAGGACATGCAAAGCTTTTCTCTTGGATCTGCATTTAGGATATGGGAGCCTCCTCAAACAAGAAAAAGCCCTGTTGTTATGGGGAAATTGGAAGCAAAGAAAATTCTGCAGTGGCCAGTGGCAGAATTTCTCACCATTGAAAACATATTAGGGATGGGCAGAGTCTATCAGGAGTTCACTGGAATTCAGTGGCTAGCCAGTTGCCTCTATAAGCCTTAAAGATTCCCTTGAAGACAGACAATACACCCGTCTTTGGAAACATATTCTCATGTTAGAACCAAACGTGCATATGGAAATTATTATCCCTTAGCTAAGAGCTTTTGTTTTAAAACCCTTGTGGTGTTTGTAACCTAAAAGAGGGATTTCCTCAAGTTTTCTAAAACTGCCTCATTTTTTTTAAGAATCACCATGATCCATACCTCATTTGAGATCAAGTGAATCGTCAAACTAATGTGTTTTTTCAGGAAGCTAATTCTGTGACTTCCTTAAAGAGAGGGTTGCTCTTCCCAAGGGTTATCGGCAAGCCACTGCTCTGGCTCCTTGTGCCAGTTGTTCTTCCTGACTGGCCATTTCCCCTCTGGCTGGAGATAACCCTGCAATGACTTCAAATTCTTTCGTTCAGTATCTGATTCCATCTCCATCATAAAGCCTTCCTCAGAGCATGGTTGGACCTAAGCATTTCCACGTCTTAGTTCATTCCCAAGATCCCAAGTTGACTTTTGCTTGAACTTCAGTGGAAAATCCAAATCATGTGAAAATCAAAAAGAAAATAATGGCTCTTTCTTGATTCTATTTTCTAAACATATGGTAATGAACAATAAATGTTTACAGGTAGCTGTGATGGCTACAGAAAAATTTTCTTTGGGACCCCCATAAAATAGATTATATTCAGTAAACACAGCCAAGCATGCATAAACTTTAAGAAAGATTTTAGCCTTCTATCCATTCAAACTATTACCCTATTTCTTCCCTCTTTATTGCTACCATTCCTTCTGAAAAAGAGTTTATAAATTCATAACACATTAAAATGAGCAGACTCTTTAGTTCCTTAATCCTAGCAGTCTGATTTAGTAATTTCTTTAATGGCAATATTATTCTCCCCATGCCACAGTTCATATTTGACTTCTCTTGACTCCTTGCTTCCCACTTACTATCAGCAACCAAGTCCTGCTTATTCTTACCTTATTATATTGTTCTTTCTATCCCTATTGCCACAACCTACTTCAGGTCCTTATCATTTACTCCCAATGCTTCTTTTGCAATAGCCCACTAACTAGCTCTCTAATTCTTCAATTTTTCTCTTTTTCTTTTTCTTTTTTTTTTCTTTTGAGATGGAGTCTTACTCTGTTGCCCAGGCTGGAGTGCAGTAGTGTGATCTCAGCTCACTGCAACCTCTGCCTCCTGGGTTCAAGTGATTCTCCCGCCTCAGCCTCCCAAGTAGCTGGAATTACAGGTGCCTGCCACCAGGCCCGGCTAATTTTTTTTCTTTTACTGGTATTTTTAGTAGAGATGGAGTTTTACCATGTTGGCCAGGCTGGTCTCAAACTCCTGACCTCAGGTGATCCACCCGCCTCGGCATCCCAAAATGCTGGGATTACAGGCATGAGACACAGCTCCCGGCCAGTTTTTCTCTCTTGTAATTCATCCTGCATACCTTTGCCAAAACAAACATCCTAAAGCATAATTCTGATTATGTCTCCTCACATTTCAGACATTCCAATGGCTTCTCATTATGTCTAAATAAAGTTCAACTCATATAAAGTCAATGTGTTTGTTGAGTGAATCAGTACAAAAATTCCATATGTAGGCTTTAGCTATTTATCGAATAAAGTACAAAAGAAGAGTTTTGTTTTGTTTTGTTTCTTAGGCCAACATATGCCATATATCCTGTTTGTGGCCTCAGAAATGTGTGAATCACATTGATAAATCAGCTGAAAAAACAAAAGTTAGTATTTTACACCTTCTCTTCTCTAGAGTCTTAAAAACTCCTTCAGACTTCAACTGAATATGCGCTTTATTTCTGTTCTCTCTATTGATTCTTCTTCATTAATGTTTAATCCAAGGAGCTTTGAAGTACAAGATGACAAAATACATAATTTGTACCAATGTTCACAATTATTTCTTCCATATCAGTTAAGTGTAATTTGAAATATTATATCTTAAATTAATAAAGAAGATTTAGTAAAAACATGTTTACCTGTGTGAAAAATATTTATTGAAAATAAAACTTATTTTTAAATCCCACGAAAATAACAGACCAAAATGGCAGTGTAAGTACATGCCAAAATTGCCCCCTGTTCAAAAGCGAGAAATAATGGATAATGATTTTTAAAATATATGAAAGTGAAACTCTGTCCAAAAGCAAGAAAGTTTTCATGGACCATAAAAGAAAAGGAAACCTACAATACTAAAGGATGCTCGGTTTATGCCCAAAGATGAACAGTAGGTTTTGGGTTTCAGTGTTTATACAGAAAAGGGCCTGAGCCTGCCCCACACATGACCCAAGTACACTGCATAAAGCCAGAGTTAAAACTTCACTGCCAGCCTCTGAACAGAAGGCTGTTCTATCCACACTATCACAAGACCTGGTGGAGTTGAGGCAACTGCTGAATTACCATACAGGGAAGAATGAATTCAAGAAAATTCCCATGCAAGATAGGCTCTTAAAAAATAAATTTACACAAGAAAATCAGCACTGTAAAGGTAATTGATAAGCCCAATAGAAGGGAAACCTATACAAAGAAATAGAAATAACTAAGCAATCTGAAATGGACTTTAAATAATGATGTTTACAATTCTCTAAGAGGAAAAGGAGCATTAGCATCAGTGAAACAAAAGTAGGGCTATAGAAAAAACAATACTTATGAAAAAAACCAATTGGAAATTTTTAGATGGAAAAGCGTGAAGTAAAAAATTCAACACATGGTCTAAAGAATAAACTGCACACAGCTGAAGGGAAAATTAGTTAATTTTACGAAGAAACAATAAATCTCACAGAATGTAAAGAGATAAAGATATTTAAATAAATCAGAGTTAAGAGATATAAAACTATATACATATGAGTATATAAATATCCATATGTTTATATGTATACATATATATACCAGAAGGAAAGGACAGAAGAGATACAATATTTGAACAGATCATGGCTAAGTTTTCCAGAATTAATAAAAGACATGAGCACTAGAAACAGTCACAAGAAGTACCAAAAAAGAAAAGTCCAAACTTAGAGATGTTGCAGTAAGACTTCAAAAGGTCCAGGATACAGAGAAAAATCTTAAGCTTGCAGAGAGAAAAGACAGATTACCCACAAAAAAAAAAAAAAAAAAAAAAAAAAGAGTATAGTCAGAATAAGAGAAGAACTGTTCTCCTCAATAACCAGAGCTGCTAAAAAACAATGGACAAGTATTTTCAAAGTTCCAAGGCAAAATAGCTAAACCAGAATTCTGTATCCAGTTGTCAAACCATCATTCAAAAGAGCAGACAAGAAGAAGATATTTCCAGACTTATAAGACCTAAAAAAGCTAACTTCTCAGGAGCTATCTTGGAAAGAAATACTAAACAATTTACTTCGACCAGGGGGAAAAAAAAAGAATGGGATGCAAGGAAAAACAGGGACCAAATAAGTCAACAAAACATGCTGATATATCTAAAGCATTATATGCTTTAAAAGAAGCTAGAACATAATAATGTCAAAAATAGGAGTTGATGGCAAGATCATGCAAGAGATTGAAGGGATGTTAAAATGTATTAAAGTCCTTGTCTTCCTAGGGAGGAGGTTAAGACTACTAACTGCAGACATTTTTAGGAAAATTAAAAATTATAATGTATATTAAGGGTAACCAATAGAGGAAAAGCAAGAATAAAAATACACAGCTTGGTAACATTTTCTAAGGCTCTCTAGCCCTCACTATCTATCTCCAGAAGAGATAAAAACATCCTGTTAAAACTACAGATCTTGCTTTATAGTCACTTATGGCAACAGTGTGAAATTTCCCAGACAGCACTATATTCAATCAGTTACATTTTATAGTTTTTAAATAATGTTTAATAATTTAACAGTAGGATAAAGGAAGAAGGTTTAAAATAACTGAATAAAAATATTAGAAAAAGCCTATTTATTAGATCATAAAAGTCTATCAATGGATACTGTTAGATGATATATCTGAAAGTTAAATAAAACTGGATGAAGCCCCACACAATAAAAGTCACTGATGGCATTTGGACAGGCCTTCCATGAGAGCAGTGGATTAGGCAATCAAATAGGTACATACTCCTGTATCTTCCATAAGTCTGATGGCTTTTTTATAACCATCTTTTTAAAAGTTTCAATCATTAATTGATTATTCAGCTATGAATAAATACATAGATGAAACCTGTGTATGTCAAAAAGAGACAAAACCATATTTTAAAAATTGATATATGGAGAAAAACCAAATTTAACATTAGAATTTTGAATACTGCAAAATAATAATGGTACTTGTTTCTGAGTGACATGATTATAGTTGACATTTTCTTTTCTAAACAAACTTTTTAATAGTTTATACAAAAAAACACATATCATTTTCTATTGCTTTATCAGGCAAAAACAAATGTTTTAAAATTTTAACATTTTCCACATGAACCCATCTTATAAGGATTTAATTACTAAGCAATTATATAAATTTAAAGAAGCATTTCAAAATCCTAAGTAATTCTTCTAATACAAAAGTAGTTTTAATTGATTGGATATTTTAGGTTTAATTATTCACCTACATGTATAATATTAGATTATGTAACATGTTGCTTATTTTAAAAACAGGGCTAAATCTGATTATATAAACTTAATCTCTTCCACTGATACATTGACACAGTTGTTAAAACAATAAAGTCTCAAAGGAGAGAGGAAAAGTTTTAATAAAGAAAAGTTTTAAGAAAAATCAATTTATTCTTAATCTAAATAGAAATTAAGTTCAATTTGATCATTGTCTAGATTTTTATAAACTCAATGCATTTGTCCGTAGAATTCAGGAATACAACTTACTTATCTCTCTGTTAACGCCTGCATTAAGGTACCTATACAATCAGGCCCCTCCAGATTTAATAAAAACACTTATTTAGAAATATTATTCTCAGATTTCCAACTATAACAGGGTAACTATAAGGTTTGCTTAGAATTTGAATATACATGCCTGGGTTGAGTTAAGTACATTAACATACAGATTCCATTCTGCATGACTCTGTATAATGTAATGAACACTAACAGACATCCCATTTCCTATATCTCATATGTAGAAATTACATCCCTAGAGCTAAAGACTAGAAAACAGACATCAGAATTTTTTTTTAAAGTGAAAAGCATTTTCTAATAAAATTACTGAAAGGCATTTTACATTCAAGATATAATGATGTTCTACTTCTACTTAATATTTTTATCTTTATCAATTAAAAACAAACAAGAAAACCAGAAAAACCTCTTATTGGAGGCCACGTTTTTAACCCAGCTCTGAAAGACTCATTTGAATATTGCTAATAAAAAATGTTTACATGCCATTTCTACAAATTCTTATTATTGCATCTAGCTCAACAAGCAAGTCTGCAATTAACAACATAAAACATTCTTTCCTATGCCGTTGACAAGATTTTTAATGACCAGGCTAGTCATTTACCAACTTCCTTTGCTTAAAATCTAATAAAGAATTCATTCACTTTTGGCTCTCATTCATGTTAGCTAGAGTTTTTCTCATCCTCAAGTAGAGAATGAATTCAAGATTTTAATTAGAAATGTTGGCTTCCAAAGCTATACTCAAGCTTTTATTTTTTTAATTTATAATTATGTTTAAGGATAAAACACTGTGCAGAAGTAGCTACACAACATGATTGCTGGGTCAGCCACTTACTGGTTCAAGGTCTGTATCAAATAATTATACTGGCTGAAATCCACAAGAAATAACTGATAACAATAATGCTACACAGTGCATTAGACTTTATTTAGCATCACCACATATGTCACATAATGTAATATTCACAAATTGTGGGAAAAGCAACATTATTTATGATCCTCATTGTAGTTATTGTTTTCTCGCAGGCCAGGATCTACTTCCTTTTCCTACAGTGCTCTGATTTCCTTTTGAATATTCACCTGTTACTCACAGAACATAGACAAGAAACTGGATTCAAAAACCCATCTCTCTTACAAGCTGGCAGCCTTGCCAAATTAGACCACTCATTGGAGTCCTTTCTGTGAACTTGATGCTTGCACAGAGAAATAAAGATACAAAAAATATTTAGAGGTTTTCATTTCAGTGGCAGAATCCATATCAGATTCTTCCTGCTACAAGACCTATCCTGATCTCCAACTCCTTGGAGATGCCTTGACTACTGTCCCATTTCCAAGTCTGATTTTCCTGCTTTCCTTTAATTCTGTGTGCTCCCAAACCTATTCTAATAAATTTTCTTTTGCCTAAGTTAGCCAGAGCCAGTGTCTGTTGACTGCAACCAGAGACCCCTAAAAACACCCTTTTACACATCAAATGCATAAATGTTAAGTAATTACCCAGAGTTGCTCAATGAACAAGAAAGTGGTAATCTCATGACTTCTAATTCAGTGTTCTTTACACTCTGCCACAGATAAAGATGATCATACAACACTTTTTAAATATAGAGCTTGGTTTTCCAATGGTAAAAATGGCTTTAAAGTTCAACATCATTATAGGAGTAATTTGTCCTCAGGAAGAAATGAAGAATAATTTAATTTTGGATAGTTATAAGTATGTCATAGAACTTTTAGAAAAATGCCACTCATTTCCATCAGCAATATTTTCAGATTGTTATAAAGATATAAACATATTAAACCATATGCTTCATATATTAGGTTATCAATGCCTACTGTTGACTAACTTTCCCAAATACTTCTTTCCTGAATTCAGATGCCATATAAAAGAAAGCAAAAAGCCACTGTAAATTAAATGAATTGAGAACACTAACAACAATAATGGCAACCATTATTTAAGTACTTACCACACACCAGGCAATTCATTGGCATGTATCATACGATAGTAAATTCTCACAACAGCTTTGCAGAGTCAGTGTCAATATCCCATTTTAGAGAGAGTGAACTGGGACTTACAGATGTTAAGTAATTTGATCAAGTTCACATAACCAAAAAACGATTAAAACTATTATCTAAAGCCCTTATTTTTTTCTGTGCATACCATATATAATCTCAGAAACACTAAAGAGAGATGTCAGTATAGAGCTTTATCCCTCCAATTCCCAGAGGCTTAGACAAAGAAAACGTTGGTGAAACCATTGGACTCTATGACAACTAGAACTGCATAAATCATAATCAATAGAAAAACTAAATTTATCTCTAGAATTTGGAAAATCACAGGACATATATGTTAAATAAAGATTCTGAATATTACAGTGATTGAAAAGACATTTACCCCCACTTAATGCAATAATTTGAACCAGAAAAGCCTTGCATTTTGAAAAAGTTTAGAAATCTTTCTTTTAGGTTTACAAAGAAAAAGCGGCCTTCATTTTATCCCTTAGACTTCTGTGTCCTCCACCTGCTACATTACACTTCAAGAAATTTAACTTATATCAATCAAAATTTGCTTCTTAATGGATGTACATCTCAAACTCAATAGCCCACCCTTTACAAACACTGTACAACCCAATAGTGAAAGCAAAAAAAGCTATGTAGTTATTTCTTTAAAACCTTCAGCAGTTAAGAAGAAGGAGACATATCAAAGCATATTTTTTCCATCTGGCTCCAGAACTTTAGTTCATGGGCAAAGTATATGGTATTTGTATTGGCAAAATAAGTTGTGATTTCAAAGCATCATCTAGTAGCACTGTAACATAGACCATGGTGCTAAATGAGGCATGCTAGTGAATATCGTTCTTGTAATAGTATCAATTGTTTCAATATGTAAAACTCTGTTTAAAGCTATATGTTGAATCTCTACTCTACTTTTGGGTGTCTGGCCATCCAAAAACTGAATCCCACAAGTTACTAATAGACTTGAACTGAAAACTATCTCTGAAAATAGATCAAAAGGCACACTTTGTTCAAGATGTCTCAGGGAAAAGGTGACTTCTGCTCTCAAAAAAAAAAGAAAAAGAGAAGTGTGTGTGTGTGTGTGTGTGTGTGTGTGTGTGTGTGTGTGTTTAAATTAAATGGCTGCACAACCTAATGGAGAAGCTGCCCAGACTTGCCATTTGGTGGGGGTGGGAATGTGGGAGGTGGTTCAAACTTATTAGGCTACATCACTTCAGCTGGAGCTCTGTCTCGATGGGGATGCTAAAATCCAGCAACCAAGACTTATACCAGTAAAGTGCTCAATGAAGATGTTCTCTGATAGAATTCAGTCATATATGAGGTACTCATTTTTCCTACTCAATTATTTAATTGCTTTAAGTCTCATTTTAAAAAGTCTTTTTAATATCTTGAAAGTTTACGTAATGGTTATTATGTGCAACTAACTATAATTCTATTCCACTTTATTTTCATGTAACATTATTGAAAAGAGCTCATAAACCAGATTCCACACTCAAAAACTCAAATTCCTTTCATACTGTATCATTTGTTTCCATACCCAACAAAATTGTATCTTCCACCAACCAGCCTGGCTGCCTAAATGAGACTTGTGGGATGCTATCAAAGGATAGCAATGACAAGTGAATGACAAGACAGAAGCTTGTCATTCTGCCTCTTCAGGGTGGGATGTGATTTTTGCCTATCCAGAAACCAGGGGGTTCATGTTACAAATTTATATTGTTTAAAGAAATCCCCCGCAAAGTGATTCGTGGCCAAAATAATTGCTGTAGCTATCACATTCTCAACATAAGCATATAAATAAAATATATGCTTACGCTTAGCATAGGCATAGCTGGCTGATTGCATCTGCATTTTTGTACCTGCAGCTAATTACTGGCCCAAAAAGGAGGCTACCATCCGTCACCACCAAAAGGTAGGGGCATGGAGAGCAACTGACACATGACTGTTCTCTAATATAGCAGAGCTCCATCTATGTTGTTGCATGAATAGCAGAGATTGGAGACAGAAAACAAACATGTCTAAAACAAAAATGTCCAACTTCCTCTATTTATAATCTCAGTATTTATACTAGATCTGGTAATAAGTGCAAGGCCTACTCCTCATATACTACTATCAATTAAGATAAGATTCCATTTTATCCAAAGTATATCATACCCTGTAATTCTCAAAGTAGTTACAATAAATTTAAATAAAGTCAAAATCCTTTCTTAATCTTAGAGCAGGAATTTTTTTTTTTTTGCCAACATGTGGTATTTTATGCCCTTACCAAAGGCATACCAAAACATCACATAATCTAATTCCAGTTTTCCTTGGGTTTATTTCAGCTTTATTGGTGTACATTTGCAAATAGAAACTGTATATATTTGAGGTACATAACTTGATATACATATATATTGTGAAATGATTACCACAATCAAGCTAGTTGACATATATAATCACCTAACATAGTAATCTTGTGTGAGTGTGTGTTTGTGTGTATGCATACGTGCACACACATGGTGAGAACATTTAAGATCTACATTCTTAAGAAAATTTCAAGTATGCAATACAATATTGCTAACTATAGTCATCAGTCTGTCCACTGGATCTCCAGAACTTAGCCATCTTGCACATCTGAAACTTTCAGTTTTCCATGTTTTAAAACTTGGTCACCTTTTGCTGGAGGATAAGAAGAAGGAAAAGCACATGGCACTGTTTGGAGGCCACATGTAAGCCTATCTTTCCTCCTCATCAAAACCCTCTGAAAATAAAGACTCTTTCTCTGTCTTTATCATAAAGGTGGAACTGCGGGTCTTGAAAGGCTCTCACTGCCTCCTTTAAGGCGTTCTTGCCTCACATCAGTCAGAGGAAAGAGTGCCCCCACAGGCCATCATTAACCTGCCAATTCTGCCTCCAAACAAGGAGGACAAGAGCTCACTAATTTGAAGATCAAAAACCCACTTGTCCATTATATAATTGGAATGAAAGGCAAAATGTTGCCGTTCTGAAGAGCACAGTAATTACTAGCTGTTAATTGCTCTCTCGTGGTGGCTCACTTTTAATTAAAAAGAACAGCTCGTTGCAGGCCGATAAGCAATGGTGGAGACCACTGGTTTAATCAACAAAGCAGAAAAATTTGTTTCTGCTGAAGCCAACAACAGCTTGAGAAATCTTCAGATGTCCAATTGAGATTAAAAACTGTCTATTTAGTGCAGTCAGATTTTATTTTAACCAAGGAAATGACTATTTGAAGTCTTCCAATGTGAGTGTCCCCGCCACATCCCCGCTGGTGCCGTGGGGACTAATCACGGGCTGGGGTTGTGATCACTCAAGTAAAGAAATTTAGCGACTTTCCTCTTGACTTCATCATTCTTGGGTAATTGGCCTGTCTGAGGTGAGTACTCTTTTTTTTTTAAAGAAAGCGCTTTAAAGTATGGAAGGCCCACAGACTGTGCATTTAATTACTGTTCATATTTCATGCAGTCAAACTGAATTTCATTTGAAAAGAAAATGATTTACCTATCTTTAAAAAGCCTTAATGTTCTGCTTTGTTTTGTTTTGTTTTTTTCTTCCAGGGGTTATATATTTACATGCCAATATTTAGGGCACCAAAATTAATTCTGTAAGATGCTTCTCTGTCTTTTCCTCTTTCATCTAACAGCCACAGAATGCAGCTATACTTACCCCAGGGTGAGGAGGTAGTCCCTGGAAGGATAATACTACATTTAGTTAAGAAGGCTCCCAAGGTTAAGTAGAGTTACTTGGTCCCAATTTGGCTCATCTCTCTGCCTTTGAACAGTGTGTGTATCTGCCTCCCATGCCTCTTTTCTTCTCCCTCTTTTCTAAGTCATGATGGTTGGAAAGCCATTTGTTTTTAAAATTCACATGTTCTTCCACTTAACTGAATCTCAGGCTATATTTCAGTCTCGTCCTTCATCAAGGAGGAAACTTCTTCCCTCTTCACTAATCATAAGAAACACATATCCCTGAATTGTCTGGATAATATTAAAAATGTGTCTCAATCACAATGCCAGTGATATAGACTGTTGGTCAACTATCTACCCTATACATTGGGTGTTAGCACTAGTCTTCCTGTACAAAATGGTTTATCACTTTGGCTCCAGTGGTGCCTCTGAAAAGATCTGTCCTCTTGCCAGCCACTAAAGCAAACTTCTCTTTCTCCTCAGACAAGTCTTTAAGATACAGCCTATAAACGCATGTAGGTAAATGGGTAATTTAATTTGGGTAATGAAAAATTAACCAATTGTTAGCTTAATTTGCTAGTCCTTTTCTTTGAAAACACTGGTGACGTCAGGCTGATGGAGGCTGGTACCTCCTTCATGCCTTCATTCCTCCATGCCAATCTACTTAAAGGCATACAGCCGTCCCTCTTAGTAGGGAATTTATTAATTGAGTCTTGAACTGACTTTTCCAAATTAAGGTGTCTGCTTTCAGAAAGAAGGGGTAGGGAAGAAAAAGAGGGTTTTATAGGGTTTTCTTTTTCCCCTGGCTTCATTTATATCCAAGAATAGAAGGCCTACAATGGTGGAAAGAGCAAAGACCAATTTTGGTTTAAATCCCCACTTGCTTTTTTTTTTTTTTTTTTTTTTTTTTTTTGAGATGGAGTCTCGCTCTTTCGCCCAGGCTGGAGTGCAGTGGCGCGATCTCGGCTCACTGCAAGCTCCGCCTCCCGGGTTCACGCCATTCTCCTGCCTCAGCCTCCCGAGTAGCTGGGACCACAGGCACCGCCACCACGCCCGGCTAATTTTTTGTATTTTTGATAGAGACGGGGTTTCACCGTGTTAGCCAGGATGGTCTCGATCTCCTGACCTTGCGATCTGCCCGCCTCGGCCTCCCAAAGTGCTGGGATCACAGGCATGAGCCACCGCGCCCGGCCCCAACTTGCCATTTCTTAATACGTAACCATGAGATACTTGTTTAGCCTCTTAAATCACAGTTCAATCCATGGAGAAAAGAACTCTTTTAAGAGACTATTTCAAAAACTAAGTGAAATAACATTTTGAATATACTATGTGCTCAATAGGTCATAGTTGTACCTAACATTTGGGGCTGGCGATAAATGGATGGTAATTCAAGAAGGGTCCCTCCACATTCACCCCTCTGTATACTTTCAAACATGGCAGAACCTGGAGAAGAAAATCCCACAATTATTTTGTTGAGTATTCTCTATTTTCTCCTATCCCTACACTTCATCACTGAGCATGTGCCATTAATTGTTTTAACCGCTGTAAAATCTGGCATGGGAATAGGGTGGGACACAGTAAACTGGTGAATGACACAAAAAGGAATTTGATAGGAAATTTGCTTCTATAGAAAGGTGGGAGTGCAAAAAAAAAAAGACAAAAGAGTTATTTTCTAAAGTTTAAGCTTCTGAAAATTTGCCTCAGGATGTTAATATCTAATACAAAAGAAGAGTAAACACACATACACACTCACACACACACACATGCACAAACACATTTTTTGTGAGACTCTTCTTACCCAGCCTGTCAATCCTGTAAATAAGTTTGGTGACAGTGAAATAAGTGTGGTAATGATAAGAAACTATTCTCATATGAGCAGCACCATCTCCTGATGCAAGAAGGCTATGCAACTAGAAAAATAATAAAATAAAATTATTTTTTTCCTAAAATAGATACTTTCCTAAGGTACGTATTCAAAGTTGTTGCCTCTTTGATGTAACATTCCTTTCTGATCATTCTACTGGGAACTATTACATGGCTTCTTTTATTTCTCACTGACAAGAGGTTTTTAAAACAATTACTTAACCCAGTGGAAAAATTCAATGCCTTAGTTAAACATATTCGTCTTATTCTTAGTTACAAAATAAGTGTGACGCTATAGTCATCCTGCCTATATACAATCATGAAATATCAAGTTCTGGAGTTGAAAGAGACCTAAAGAGTCTTATGCAAATATAGGCCTTTAAAGTTGCTAAATACAAACAAATTCAAGGAACAATGACTAAACTCTACACTAAGATAAATGCCGAAGAGACCTGCTATTAATGTGCCTCAGGGCTTCATCTTCCCCAAAAGCTCAGTAGAAAAGGTTCCCTGTCTAAGACTAGAACTTGGTGTTAAAAGTGAATGGCCCATTTGTCAGGAGCAGGCTCCACCAGCAGCTCCTGGTGTGACCCTGGATAAATCCTGTCACTTCCCTGATGTGATGATTGATGTTCAGAAGCTCTGAAGGCTCATCTAGCTTGAAAAATCTATTTTTCTATCACCACTTCAAAAAATTTTTTGATCGTGGTAAAACATATATAAGATAAAATTTACCATTTTAACCATTTTTAAGTGTATAGTTCAGTGACATTAAGTACCTTCACACTGTTGTACGACCATCACCATTACTCATCTCCAGGGCTTTTTAATGATCCCAAACTGAAACTCTGTACCCAATAACTCTGCATTTCCTCCTGCCTCCTCCCCCATTTCCTCCTGCCCCTGGTAACCACTGTTCTACTTTCTGTCTCTGTGAATTTGCCTATTCTAGGCCTCTCATGAAAGTGGAACCATGCATTATTTGTTCTTTTGTCTCTGGCTTATATCCCTTAGCATAATGTTCTAAGGTTCACCCATGTTGTATCATGTGTCAGAATTTCTGTCCTTGTTAAGACTGAATAATATTCCTTTTGTATGTTTACACCACACTTTGTTTATCTGCTCATCTGCCAATGGGCATTTAGGTTGTTTGCACCTTTCGACCATTGTGAATCGTGCTGCTATGAACACTGGTGTAGAGTATCCGTTTGAGTCTCTGCTTTCTCTGCCTGCTTTGCGATTCAGGAAGAGTCCAAGCCGACTCAAAGGCAGCCGGTCAGCATCAGGCTTACGCATCTCTTGACTCACTTTGTACCACACCAACTACCAGCAGATGCTCAAACAAATGTCCTCTGATAACAGAAAGCAGATTCAGTCTCTTTGGATCAATTACATGTTAAACCAAAATCCTCTTATAGGGTGGGGGCAATCTCAGACACGTGCACCGTGCCAGTTAAGGCAAAAGCCAAGCAATGTGTATATGCACAAGCTTTTCTGAACACTTACAGTCCTGTGTCTACTCACGGCATCCAGATCAGGAGGGCTGGGATCACTGTAATCGATTCTCATCACTGTAAACTCCTGCATTCACTCTGTGATTGGGATGTGAAGGGTCGGGGGCAGGGAGGGAGTGTCCCCCCACCCCCCTTATTTCCTGTTTCTAATTTTCAGGCAGCACCTGTCACCAGCAGTCTTGACTTTCACAGTTTTCTTTTGAGCCTCTTTGCTTTTTTCTCATACTTGTTCTAAGGTTTATCAGAGGAAACACTTGCCCTCCCAAGGATGGCCTCCATGCTGTGACAGATTAATCCAAGTTGAGTGAACTTCCTTCAGACAGAGGACACTAATTATTATGAAGGCACTTAGAACACAATGCGAGCTGACATCTCACAGGCCATTCCCTGCCAACTCTGCATTGTCTTAATGTCAGACCCTGTCAGTTCCCAGCCTTAATTATATCCTGTTTACAAACATTAGGCCTGACTTCAGATGAAGCATTAACAAAGGTTGACAAAGGTCAGGGTCACATCGCAAGGATGTTATCTGTCTATACTCTCCTCCCGATAAACCAGAGGTAGAGGGCTGATCCGAGAGATAGCTTTCAGAGCAGAAAAATGCAGTGTGGTCACTGGAATATCTAATCTCTGCGGACACATTTTCATCCAATCTGCTAAATGCTGTGGCAGGGAGAGGGGGGCAAATTTAGAGGGCCAACTTGGTGCTACTTATCTTAAATCCCCTGAGGGCAGACATGGCAAAGGTGTTGGTAAAAACCTCTTTCAATAGGAAGAACAATCATCACCCTTTGCCACTGAATCAAGAAACTAATTCAAAGCGTTAAAAAACAGCAACCACCACCACCCAACCCCTGTTAAAATAGGGACCTGTTTTAAAGATGACAAGCAAGTTTGAATTACTATACTTGGCCTTACTTTTTAAATCTTATTATTTTCAAATGTTTTTATATTAGGGTCAATGAGCAGCTAAGCAGATTTTTCTTAAGCAAAGCACTCTTTAGATTCATTTTATATGCTGAATTTGTAGGTATCACATCAGACTTGCATTCAAATTAATCAGACTCAGGTTTCTTTGAATTTCAGTAAGTTAAAACAGTAATTACTATCACATACAACCCATTCTTTTCTTTAGGTTATGATCTTAGTGATCATCTGCCAAATCTCTATATTTTACAAATGGGAAGACAGTGGCTCAATGAGGTCGAAGTATTTAACCTAACTGAATCTTACAGCACAGTGGTGGAAAGTTCAGGCTAAAACCAAAATTCTCTCCCCCTAATCTAGGATTCTTCCCATACTTGGGAAATTAAACCTTTTTTAAAAAGTATTTTTAGGCCAGGTGCAGTGGCTCATGCCTGTAGTCCCAGCACTTTGGGAGGCCGAGGTGGGCAGATCACTTGAGGCCGGGAGTTCAAGACCAGCCCGGCCAACATGGCAAAACCCCGTCTCTTCTTTAAAAATACGAAAATTAGCTGGGTGTGATGGTGGGCGCTTGTAGTCCCAGCTACTCAACTTGGGAGGCTGAGGCACTAGAATTGCTTGAACCCAGGAGGCGGAGGTTGTAGTGAGCCGAGATCGTGCCACTGCACTCCAGTCTGGGCAACAGAGTTAGACTCTGTCTTAAAAAAAAAAAGCACAAAAAAAAATTTTTTTTAAAGTATTCTTACAGAAGCTGACATCTATTTACTAGACATCTGTTTAACAATTTCTATAATTTCCCCCATCAGCCTTCTCTCCCAACTAAATAACTTAGATTCTTTTCATCTTATAAGTTCCTGTCTGCCAACATGTAAATTGCTTTAAATGTTCTTTTCTGGACACACTCCTCTAAGTCTTGAAATTCCCATAGGGCACACAAAAGCACTCAGTAGATAATTTATTTAACTGCTTGGGCCTCATTTGTTTCTTCCACAGTATTGAGGCTTGTATTGTGCTAGGTCCAGGTCATTTTCTTATCTGGGTCCAGTTAGTTGCAATCTGTTCGACAGGCCATCTCCCTAAATGCACAGCTTGTGCAACTGAGTTCCAGGTGAATTAACACTTTTTGAAATTTATCTCCTTCAGTCTCTAGCTCCTCCCTCATCCCCCAACCACCCTACCATACCCTGAGGCCAAGGCCAAGACTTACTTCCAGGCCTCCTACTTACTAACGCTCCCAAGAAATTTCCTCTGTTCCCAGATTTTTGATTTCTTGCCACCAGTGGACAACTCTGAATTGTTCAGACTTAGCCCTATCTCCTCACATCTCTTTCTTCCTCATCTCTGTGAGAGGCATCTATAGCACAATGTTAACTCAAATGCAGTAAGCGTAAGAACAAATCTCCTCCAGGGTCCTTCTCCCAGTCCTCCCATCTTGGATAGAAGAAACACCGTTCTCCTCATGCCCAATATTTACTTCAGAGGGTCCTTTCTCAGCCCTAGCTACTTCCCCATAGTGACCAACTACATCTTGTTAACTGTTTTGTCCAAAGTGCCTGCCACAGAACCTGGAACATAGTAGGCACTTATAATATCTGATGAAAGAATCAATTAATGAATCAATGAATGAATAAACTTGGTGAAATCACGAAGTCTTGTCTATCTTTCTCCACAGCATCCCAGCTCCCCCTTCCCACTTCTTCCTGCAGGGCCATCTCCACAGCATCCCAGCTCCCCCTTCCCACTTCTTCCTGCAGGGCCATCTCCATCCTCAACACTTTCATCACCAGGAGTCTGACTTACTAGAAACCAGGGTTGCTATATCAACTTTAGTTTCTCCACCTAATCCCTCCTAATCATGGCTGGGCACAGACAGAAGCTCTGTACAAAAATTAGTGCTTCAATCTTACCTTAAAAACAGATCCTTTGTGACAATTCTATCAACTATTCTAATTTGTTATATAAAAATGTCAAGTAGCTCTAGGCCCGGGTCCAACTCCTGCCAAATGTGACTTATTTTGTTTCCCCGGGATGACAATGAAATGCTGTTAACTACCTTTTGATGATGATTCTCTGAACAGGTGTGCACCCCATAACATTCTGTGGTCTAGACCAGATTTCCCAGCTTATGGCAGATTATGTCATTTGGGACAGATTCCAAGGCTTGGTTTAAATAGATGTATTACTGCCTTGCTGTTCATGCATCAACCACATGCACACAGTGAAGGCAGATGAATCTGCCCATCAAGTGTGATGTGGAGCTCTCTGATGACAAACTGGACTTACGGTAATAAAATTGAGGTTAGAGTGAAATTGAACTAAAATCCCTGGGTGTTATAGTCCTTTAACTTGCTTCACTCACTGTGATGAGCTGCATAGTTCAGAAGGCAATAGTTACTAATAGTTTAAAAAGTTGTGCTTTAAGATGTTTCCATTGCAGAACTGTAAGTTGTGTCCTTTTTGTGTCTGCCAGCCAGTGGCTGGAATGCTCAGTCCGGAATTTCTATCAATTAGCAGAGGAAATAAATGCAGCGGGTAGAGGTAGAGGAGGAGGGAGAAAGGCAGAGAGAAAAATAAATGAAAAAAATGAATTCTTTCCTTTAAAACCTTGAGGAGGTGTGATAAAGCTGGCCTTTTTGCATGCATTACATATATATTTTAGTACTAAGTACAATTTAAAGATGGACAATAATCATCTGTTATCTGGGTCACACTGACACATTAATGGTTCTATTTGTAAGTCTTAGGACAAGATCAATAATTGAGAGCTTTAAAAACACCAGGCACACCTGCAACCTCTTCCCACCACTGAAAAATAACTGCCTGCTCTTTTTTTCAGGAGATCATTTTACTTTCTCTGCATTTGTAATGCCAGTCATAGGCACAACTTACTCTCCCATCAGAATTGGATTACATCAGTGGCTAGTGCATCCAGAAATACAGACCTAATATTTCACAATTGTTCTACAAGGGTGTGCACATACTTTACTACCCCAAACCAAAAAGAAATCTAATTTTAGGGGGAAAGGAGTTGAGATGGTCATAAGAAAACCATGTCGGTAATCTAGCACATACCTTTACATTTTTGAGTGTGAAAATGTCCAGTGCTTAAGTGAACTCCAGAATTCCTAATATGCTTACAACAAGCTGTTTAATTCAAGTGCAAGAGATCTTTTCTAAGTAGGAAAAGACACACTAACACAAGCAACATTTTTACAGTTCTTAAGCACAGAGTCAAAAAAAAAAGAGAGAGAGAGACATCGTTTTACAAAATAACTTGTTTTTCCACACTCATTCTGCCTTATTTGTTCAGTGGTGAATGGTTGGGGGACAGAGGGAGTCGGCGACTAAAAGGTTTTTGGTCTATAAGGAGTTGGAAGCATGTGAAAGAAGAGGTTTTGAGGATGTATAATTAAGCAGAAATCCTCAGCACTCACTAAAAAGGAATCAAGGTGAATGGAGGATCAACTGTGACCACACTGACTACTGAAGCCTTGAATGCCAAAACCTTTCCTTTCATTCAGGCATCTGGTTCTAAAGCAAGATAATTTTCAATTTTAAACAGTGCTAGATTTGATTGTAAAAATGTCTCTTGCATGCGATAGGACAGTTGCTGTCCTCATTCTCCTTTCCTCAGCACCTTAAATACCAGCCACATAGCAGATGCCCGATGAATGTTCACGGAATGAGTAAATAACCCCTGAATGGGTTCAAGGGTCCAAATATTGTCTTGGGTTCTCCTATGTGTCACGCTTTAAAACAATCCCTTTATAATATCTGAGAGCCAGTATAGTTTTAAATCAACTTACCAACAATATACAATTCAACTCAGAAAGTAAATAGAAATAAGCAAGATAATTTTCTGCCTTACTGGTCAACAATCAAAAACTTTTTAGAATCCCGGTAGACACAGTACTGGATAATTCTGCATTAAAAGAAGAAGCAGCAGATCAAGACTGTCCTCAGCAGTTCCACCCACATCCAACAACTGAGAGAGCAGTTGCCTTCTGAGAATGACAGTAGGGAGCTCCAAGCGGAGCTCCCACCCAACAGATCCAGCCTCACCTTTCATTTCGCCACAGCACAGCAGCAGCTCTCCTGTGGTCCTGCTTGCAGGTAGAGAGCACATGAGGGGAAAAAAGAGGGATCTGGTATGGGATTGTACCATAGGCCAGATCCTAAGGAACAATATTATTTTATACTCCTATGACAATCCCAACTCACTCACTCCATTGTGTCTGCCCATGTTTCTGAGCAACTTGGAGCTAGCCAACTCCTGTGGGGCCAGCAGCCTAGGCAAATAGCAGTCATCATTTATTGGTACAACGTAAATATTCAGTACAGACATATAAAGTAAATATTATTATCACCATTTTACTGGGGAGATAATTAAAGCTAATCTATTTAGCAGGTAATGGAGTTAGGATCTGAACCTTGGTTTGTCTGACTTTAAAACATGAGAATTTTTTTTCACCATACCATACTACCTCCTGGGCCCTATCGAAGCTGAGATTCCAGAAGAGAATGAGTTACACAGGAGGCATCATCATCTGCATTCAAAGTAGGCATCATTTTCAGATGAAGTCCTTTGTATATATGGGCCTAACAATTTAAGCTCAAAAGATTAAAATTTGAAGACACCTAAATATCACAAAGTGACAAACATTTTAGAAGTCTCTCATTCCACCACATACTACAGAGGGAAGCATCTTTGTAAAAATATCTTGCAAGATTTACTTGTACTTATAAAAATAAATTTTACATATATTAACATTCAACATGTATTAACATTGCATAGTACTTTTCCACTGAAAGAGTTCAAAGCATTTTTCAAATACCAATTTTTTTATTCATCTGACTGGGGGGAAAATGCTGAAACATTATGGACAAGCTCTAGGAAGCATCTCTTAAATAATCTAACTTCCTTCTTCCCAAAATAATTCAGGCATCTCAAGATAAAATACACATAAACACTATGACTAGTCAAATAGAAGTCCAAAACTCATGAGAAGTATTTAAGGAAAAAAACTCGAAACCTTGACAATATGGTCATTTGAGCACTGAATTTAATGTTCAACTTCATGAAAAACAAGGTGAAAAGGAAAAGAAGTATGTCATATATAATTCTCATTATCTAATAAAAAGGACTTCTATGGATTGTTGTTTAGGAGACTCTGAGTAAGATATTGGATAATGTTTTCTACCACTATTTGATAGAAAATACGTGAAAAGTTTTCATACGACATTACCTAAACTGACCCTCAACAAAAATTAAGAGTATCTTTAAACAAGAAAGCAATCTGTTTCAGATATAACTCTATTTTCCTTCTACATAGATCATATCTCATTGCTTATACTATGAATAGCGTACTCAATTTCTCCCATTTTTTTCAAGATCTTTTAGTTATCTGTAAATTTTTAGCAATAAAAGAATGTTCTTTTTTTTAAGGTAACATCTATAGACCATTTACTACTGTGTAACCAAAGCCCTGTGCAAAGCGTGCATTCTCTTGACTCGGAGACTCAGGGCTGTCAAACAACTTACCCTCAGTACCATGACCACATGTGACAGACCCAAGATTTTAGCTTGGGTCTTTCCAATTCCAGAACCCAGCTCTTAATTATCTGCTATAGATTCTCTTCCATCACATGTTTGCAGGATTTGCAATAGTTTTATCTGTGTTTCCAAAGTCAAATAGATATGAGCGTCTTCCTGGGGAATTCATATTTTCCTTAGGTCCATTTTTTAAGGGCAGACCCACAGAGGAAAACGAATGCTAGTTGCTTCTGACCAGTCAAAGCATTGAAATCATAACCTAAATTTAAAAAACCTAAGCAACGACAATAAATATTGCAACATGCAGGCAAACGAAAAAGGTCCATGTGGATGGTAGGAAATCATATACTTTGTGGCATGAGCAATAGGAACTTTCCTTTCAGGTCACTGATCAATTCAGTCAGTTGAAAGTAATCTATTGTCATCATGGATAATATTATAGATGAAATCCATTGGTGATCAAAAAACACCTAAAATTCCATGGATCATACAACAACAACAACAACAAAAAGCAATTACCATCATCATTCCCCGGGCAGGAAGCTCCAGGGAGACCAAGAAGTGGATGATAAAGGGGCCACCACCACCTCTTAAATCTTGTTGACTACTTCCAGATGAGCTTTTTGGCATGGGGAGGGAATGGAGCTAAAGAATCTTGCCTAGCTGTTAGATTTCAAGTAGAAATTCTCAATAGTTGGGCTTATGATCTTCTAGTTTCCTTTGTAAGGTAATAGATTTATCTAAGCATGGTAATTTTCTTACTACTTTTAAGCAGATTGTATCTCTGAATTTTGTGAAGACTTATCCAATATGTGCCTAAGCATGTAGACGTTTTAGACTATAAGGGGAAAAAAGATATTGCTAGCTTGTCCTATAAGAGGGAGCAGGGAAGGAAATGTCCTCTAGGGCTTATGCATTAGACTATTTCTAATAGACTATTTTTCTCTTCAACTCAGCCTAAAACATACCCTGAACCCTAAAGTTTTTCGATAATCTTATGCAAAAAAAACCTCTAGAATGACTGCTATTTTCTAAACATTACAGTAGAAGAACCCCTAAGCCAGAATTGATGGCAGCTATGTTTCTCACAAAGACACTCCCAAAACAAGAAGAGACCAGTGAAAGCCCAAGGATTTCCATCCATTGATTCAGTCAGGAACTGTGGTAGGTACTAGAGATTCAGTAACTTAAAAATATTCAGACACATTTGAGTTCAAAAAAAGAGAGAAAAAATAAGTAAATCGAGAAATAGCATTTGCACTCAAGGAATTTACATTCCAACAGAGAAGTCAGACACTAAACATCAAATTGTGCATAGCTATTTAATTAAAATTATGTTAAGAAAACAGTTGACAGGGCCGGGCGCTATGGCTCACGCCTGTAATCCCAGCACTTTGGGAGGCCAAGGCGGGCTGATCACAAGGTCAGGAGATCGAGACCATCCTGGCTAACATGGTGATACCCCGTCTTTACTGAAAATACAAAAAATTGGACGGGCGTGATGGCAGGCGCCTGTGGTTCCAGCTACTTGGGAGGCTGAGGCAGGAGAATGGTGCGAACCCGGGAGGCGGAGCTTGCAGTGAGCCGAGATCGCACCACTGCACTCCAGCCTGGGCGACAGAGTGAGACTCCATCTCAAAAAAAAAAAGAAAAGAAAAGAAAACAGTTGACAGGTATAGTACTGGTGTTCTCCAATTTAATTTAAAGGCACTTAGATTCCTGGGGGAAGGGGAGCAATAAGATGTCGGCTAGCCAAAAGCATTCTCCTAAAAATGCTTTTTAAAATAAAGTTTAGCAGCATTTTTTCCTGGGATTATGAATCTAACCTCCAATTCTGGCAACTGGACTCATTGTTGAGTCTGGGCACCATATTAAGAATCATGGTAGCCAATGGCAACCCAGCTCCCATAAATTCAAAGCTTCATATATATAAAACTATATGTACTGTATATTTCACTTTACCCCAGTTTTTTGCTTGTTTGTTTGTTTGCTTGTTTCCTTGCCAGCTTCACATTTTACAGATTCTCATAATAATTCTAAGAATAGCTCTAATATGGTTTGGCTGCCCCACCCAAATCTCATCTTGAATTGTAACTCCCACAATTCCCATGTGTCATGGGAGGAACCTTATGGGAGGTGATTGAATTATGGAGACAGGTCTTTTCTGCGCTGTTCTCATGATAGTGAGATCAGTCTCATAAGATCTGATGGCTTTAAAAATGGGAGCTTCCCTGCACAAGCTCTCTCTCTCTTTGTCTGCTGCCATTCATGTAAGACATGACTTGCTCCTCCTTGCCTTCTGCCATGATTTGAGGCCTCCCCAGCCATGTGGAATGGTAAGTCCATTAAACCTCTTTCTTTCATAAATTGCCCAGTCTCAGATATGTCTTTACCAGCAGCATGAAAAAGGACTAATACAAATTCCATCTTGAATTTGACAACCAGAGTAACAATTACTTGACTTTTCTGTTTCCTTTCTACAACAAATTTTTAAATAAATGAGAATGCTTCTCTCTGTGTAGAATCAAGGCATATTTTTAAAAGTAGAAAAATATTTGTCCAGTTTGAAAAACAACTGCTATGATCTATCCAGAACCTTAAAACTATAGAATCATATTATATTGGACTTTGAGTAAATCTTAGAATGAATCTCATCCAGCCCTTCATTTTATAGACAGAGACTGATAATGTGAGACTTTGTGAAGACCTCAGCCATTTAACCCTTGAGACATTAAACTGGTGTGTATCAAAGATATATGAACTTTGACATGGAACTACTGGCTGAATGGAACCCATTTAAATACACAAAATTGTATGTAAATGAACAGCTATGTATAGTCACAATCAAATTAGATGGTAATTCACTACTCTTCAATGTCAGGAATACAAAGTAGTTCCACAAACAGTGTGGTTGTGATACTGTGGTTTGTACTATGTAAAATGCCCAATTCAGTATCTGGCTCTTGGCAAAGACTTTGCTTTTAGGAGGAGCCCATCTTAAAAGATGAGGAAGGCAGAACGAGCATGGCCTCTTGCCCCAACAACCACCCACTGAATCAGATGAAACATACCACAAGGCAATTTGAATTTTTAAAGGCAAAACCTCAGGAAGACTCCTTTGCCCATTTGTTTAGTTGCTCACTAAAACAAATGCTCTTGATTTTTGACTGCTCAGCATCCATTCTCCAATCTTCTGGCAACAACAGCCATTTTCCTTTAGATAACCCCCCCTTGCCCATTCAGGCATGTTGTTCAGGTGGGGTTGACTCCATCCTGTCTCACCCCAGACTACAACAAAGAGCACATGGCCTATGCCTGGCCAATAGAAGCATTTCATCCCTTGACCACAGCAACTGGTTCAAGGTTAGGCACACGACCCAAGCCAGGCCAAAGTCTACATTCGGGACTTCTGTGGAAATCACTGGGAAAGAGAAAAGCTTTTCTTATTAGTTTGGAGCTGCCCAGAACCACAGTAAGAAGAGAGATGATCTGAGAATGTAACCAACATGGAAGAAAGCAAAAGAACAAGATAGAACAAGATAGAAAGAGAGTCTGAGTCTTAATGACATTACTGAATCCCTAAATTCAACATTGCTGAAGCCAAATGTTCCCTGAAACTCCCAGTTACTTCTCCAGTAAAATCTTTGTCTTTTATTTTTCATAAGTAAATTTGAATTGGGCATTTTTCTTTTGCAAACACAAGTGTCCTGATGAAATACTAATTTTCCCACCCTTCCCAACCTCCCTCATCCTTGGACTTCCAGGACAATGTAATGAGCACCAAGGATCTGAACTCTAGCTCTTGTTCCGCCATTTTCTTGAGCCACATCCTCTCTAAGCTCCAATGTCCTCACAAAAAGGGGATGGAGGCTATCTTTCCCATTTAGTAACATTAATATGGATCTTACTTTCAAGGGTTTTGAGATCATTAAGACAGAATTAATGTCATTAATACAGAAGCTCTGGTACACCTTGGTAAGTATGTAATGCTTTCAAAAATGAAATGCCATTATTTTCTTGGATTATCTCATTTCTCATTTTGGTTCTTTTATCCTTATTCTTCCATGTTATTAAATACAAACACAGGTCACTATTTAATGAATTGTGTTACCCTATTTTCTAGCCATTTTTATAAAAACTTAAAATCTTAATCTCAAAAAAAAATGGCTATGTGGAAAAGTGCTAAGAGTGTGTGACTTAGTGGCTCAGATGTGTAGCAAAACAAGCTTTAAAGTCCAGCTCTGCACCCACCCCAATTGCATGGCTGTGGCCAGATCATTTAATCACTCTGGGCCTCAGTTTGCCAATATGTTCAGCGAGATAAAATCACCCAATTTTTTTGAGTTGCTGTGAAATTAAAGCATATACACAAGGTCTGTCATATAGATGAAGCTCAATAAATGGGAAGGACAATATTGATCATTAATATTACTAGTAAGAGTGCCAGAGGCAATGGGGTCAACTCGGAGAAGATAGGTGAGGCTGGAGGGATGACACAGAAGTACCAAAGACCACTGTGGCAGAACAGCTTGGGTGAGTATCAAAGACCTAGGCTGGTTGGGTCCAGAGTTCTGGGGCCAGAGGGTCAAAAACAGCAGGACTATCTCTTCGTTCATAGCTTGTAAACTTCCCTACTCCTTACAGCTTTTGAGACCCTGCACTTTGAGCTTACCAAGCTCAGGGTAAGTGTCTTGATTATTTTTGTATTTCTGTCCTTTAAGAAGTGATTGGTAAATGCTCACTGTGATTTGAACATGATCATCTCTTATCCAAGAGGAAAGGCTGCCTTTACTTTTTGGTGTCCATTCCCAAGAAAAAGAAGGCCAGACAGAGCCCACAGCATGTACTTTTTCATTGGAGGAGAGACTTTAAAGTTCCATTTCATGTGGTTAACCCAAAATGTTCTCATCCATCTCCAGATGCCCTAGTGTCTCCAGAGGTGTGAAGGTCAGTGGTCTGAGATGTGTGGATCAGACCAGTGCAGCATTGGAATCACTTGGGAGCTTGTTAGAAATGTATGTTCTTGGGCTCTTTACCAAACCTACTGAATGAGAAACTCTGTTGGTCAGACCCAGGAATCTGTTTTAGTAAGAACTCCAGGGATTCTAATGCACACTCAAGTTTGAGAAACACTGCTCCAGGTAGCACCTTAATGCAGTCGGCTATTCATATCCGTGGGTTCCATATCTGTGGATTCAAACAACCACAGGTCAAAGCTATTAGGAGGAAAAAATGTGTCTGCCTTGAATAAGTACAGAATTTTTTTTTGTTGTTATTCCCTAAACAATACAGTAAAAGAACTATTTACATTGTATTAGGTAATATAAGTAATCTAGAGATAATTTAAAGTATATAGGAGAATATGCATAAGTTATATGCAAATGCTATGCCATTTTATGTCAGAGACTTGAGCATCTGCAGATTTTGGTATCCGTGAAGGGTCCTGGAATCAATCCTTCACAGATACAGAGGGATGACTGTATACATGTTTTTGAACCCTGTAAGTAAAACTTCTAGCATTTCCATGTTGAGAGGCAAGTGGAAGCTACAATTACATCCTTACTCAATCATGTAGCTCATGTTCATGCTTCTCATGGAAAATTATTTCAAAAATATTTGCTAAATACTTACTAAACAAAAAAAGTAAGATCTTGATCTCAGACCTTAAAAAGTTCTAGTTTCTTTTCTTAAGAGACCAAAGGGTCAGCTGCGGGTGGAGGCACCAATTTCCATGTATTAGTCATGACTCTAGGTTGCCTTTTTGGAGGCATGTGGAGTTAATATGAATCCTCAGTCTATATCAGACCCATTATTGATATAATAACAGACTTAGCATCCTTCTGCCTTGGTTCATAGTGAGCAAACCTACAGCTTTAAAGCACAGTAGGTTTAAACTCTTAAGAGCCAATGTATGATAAGTGACCTCAGAAAAGTAAGCCAGATCTCTCTAGACCCACTCAGCCACGACCAGGTGATCTCGGCATCAGCACTAATCCAGGTATATTAGTCCTGGGCATTTAGAAAAGATTATATGTGATCATATGGATGTAAATGTGAGAAAACAATGTAAGGTAACAGTATAAGGAATAGACATGGATGGTGTGTGTAACTCATTATGGTAAAAGAAACCAAAAAGAATAGTTAGGTAGATAATCAATCTTCTGATGTGTGTGACAACCACCTGGCACTTGGCCAGATTTTATAAGTAGTGCTCTGAAGTAGTGAATGTTTTTAGTAATTGATTTACACAATTTACCCCATACCTGTACACACTTGTAAAGAACCAGTATTTAGTGCCAGATCCAGCATCTGAAGACTTAAAAATAGACAATCCTGATTAGCTGTGTTTGCAAGACTTCCCCAACATAACAGATGTCAGGAGACGAGTATGACATCATGTTATAGATGATTTTTGTAATGTCATCACTTTGAAAAATTAAAATTAAGGTCAGCCCAGTGGAGATCTTTTATCTTTTCTTTTTATAGAAAATGAACAAACAAAATGTGATGATGAATATATTAAGTAGAAATGCATCCAAAAGCAATTTGCCCTTCCAGACAGGCTCAGCAAAACACCAGCAGGAGCCACACAAACACTTGGGTACTGGAGGCAAAGGACAATAAAGGGTCTTGGGAAGTGCCTCTGTCCTCCCTTCTGGGGCCTATAAAGAGAAGCCTAGTCCTTTCAAGCAGTTTCTCCAGATTTTACAACCTGGTTCTGCTGGTTGGGAGAGAGGATCCTCAAGAAGAATCAGTGCATGCCAATGGCATTCCAGAAGATATTCGCCATGAAAACTCACTACTGCAGGTAATTTTTTTTTTTTTTCCTAAGAGAGAACTTCTCTCTGGAGAGAGAGGAAGATAGGCTTAATTTGTGCTTTTACAAATTACATACTGGGTTCTGTACTGCAAATGTGCTTAATGAAAGAACAGATGCTCACAACTACCACATCGGGTTAAGTACTTAGGCACTGACATGGAAGCATGAAGGGCCCCTGTGTAACCATTCCCAAACTTCTTTAGGCTGTTTATTATCTATGCAATGTAAGAAATGTTTTTTAACCAGAACCCCTAAGTTGCCAAATTAGCAAATAAAAATACAGGGCCCAGTTAAATTTGATTCTTCAATAAACAAGTAATTTTTCAATACAAGTATATCCCAAATATTGCATGAGACATACCTTCTATTATATATATACACACATATATATATGCATATACAGGTATGTACGTGTATGCATGTGTGTGTATATACACACATATATACACATATACATACCTGTATATGCATATATATGTGTATATATATTAGTGTAATATATATATGTGTGTATATATACACACATATATACACGCACATACACATACATACCTGTATATGAATAAATATATACACATACATGTATGTATATGAATAAATATATATATATATATATATATATATTTGCTGTTTATTTTAAATTCAAATTTAACTGGGCATTCTGAATTTTATCTGGCATCTTATCCCTGAACCTATCAATAAGAAATTTCTCTCTTGGAACTAAATATTAGCCCAGGTGGAAGAGAATATAGGAATGTGGAAACTAAACTTTTTAATGTGTACAGGGTCCTTACTTTACAACTTTCCTGTGAGGTAGGACCAAAGTCTTTAATCCTCACTTTACAAGTGTAGACTCTGTGTTAAAGAGTTGCGAAATAAAAGAGCTGGGATTCAAATCAAGATCCTCTGACAGTTTGCAGAGGACTCTGTCAATCACTACACTAAACAAACTTAAAAAAGGAAGAATTAAAGAGATTGGCTAGAAAGGGCTGCTTTAGCAAGTAGAAATACCTGGTGCAAGCATGGACACTCTTTTCTGTTTTCACGCCTAAGTAAGCAATCATCAGTCTATGTTCTTCACAGGCTAAGAGTGGCCATTAAGAAATGAAAGCAAGTTTAGATTTCAACAGCATGTTTGGATTTGACATTTTGCATTTCAAGAAACCAAGGTCAGCTCAATCCTTTTAGCACTGGGACCCAGATACCACCATGATTTAAGTAAACAACAACCCTACTGAATTTAAGGGTAAGTGGTGGAGTAATTGCTCATGGCCTCTCTTGCTTTAATTTGGACTATCTTTATTTCTAAATCCATTAAGGAGAGCTTCGTTTCATTCTGCAAAACACTAGTAAGTTCTGTAATGAGATTGAATTTATCCTTGTGAATACTGTCAGAGAATTAAAAAATGAGTATCAGAAATAAAATGTTAACCTTCTCAACATTAGCTGTCTTATTTTCCATCTCCAAGCAATGCTATAGCCTGAAGAACTCTTAGGTTAGAAAATTATAGAAAACTAAACTGCATACTTGTTTAAAAAAAAAAAAGACATATTGTGAGATTAATCTGTCCCTGATAAGATATTCCAAATTCAAATCTTTCTCTAATCTTCCTCAAAATCAAATACTAAGCTATATTTACCATATCAAGAAATAACGGAGTTTCTAATATCACAGAAACAAACTTATGTTTCTCATCTGTTTATTCATTTTTAGAAGCTGTGCAATGAGTAATAATTGCCTATGAAAACTGCCTGTGAAGAATATTGTCAGAAATTCCAAACTGCTCCAGAGCGGTGGCAAGAAAGTCCAGAGATTATTATTGGGTAATGACATTGGAAATAAAAAAGTATATAGTATTACAGTATTGAGCTATTAGAGTAAGGAATCAATTCAAGGAGACAAGCAAAATTTATATACTTTATTGATTTTAAATTTTACATGCTCTGCTATGTGAGTAAATCTTTCGTAGTAATTCTAAAGCTTTGAAACATTGTAAATAACAGGGACTGTAGGGAGTTCAGGACAGCTATTTTTTCATACTGAGAGTATATAGCCTTTAATGCATATTAGAAGAAATTGGAGTAATGAAATACCTTAAAGCTAACTTAAGTCAGGGTTGACATGTTTTGTTTGGTTTTGTTTTTTGTCTCCAAAAAGAGAGCACGTATCAGGTAGTGAAGTAATTCCAGGTAGCATTCTACTTAAGGAAAAGCATATTAAATTGATCTTACTGTATTACATAAATCCAACATATCCTGTGTAAACTCAGAAACAGGTGGCTCTTTGTAAAAGGTGGCTGGATGCAGCCGGGCGTGATGGCTCACGCCTGTAATCCTAGCACTTTGGGAGGCCGAGGCGGGTGGATCGCCTGAGGTCAGGAGTTTGAGACCAGCCTGGCCAACATGGCAAAACCCCATCTCTACTAAAAACACAAAAATTAGCCAGACGTGGTGGTGGGCACCTGTAATCCCAGCTACTCTGGAGGCTGAGGCAGGAGAATCGCTTGAACCCAGGAGGTGAAGTTGCAGTGAGCCGAGATCATGCCACTGCACTCCAGCCTGGGCATAAGAGCGAAAACCCCATCTTGAAGGAAAAAAAAAAAGTAGCTGGATACTAACCAATAGCAGTAAAGTTTTCTCACACAAAAACAAATGCACTGGAGGAAAACACTGAAACAATAGTTGACTCAGGATTCCATCACCGAGAATTAGATTGGATTTGAAATAACCCTTCTATGTTCAATGTTGAATTGAAAAACCTCAACGTTGGGCCGTCGGAGAGCCTTTTTCCAGATAGGCGTTTGAGTAAGCCAGTCAGGTTCCTGGACAGTGCCATTTGTATTAAAAAGATCAGTTTTGGTCATTTGTAACTTTCAATCATATATATAATATACAAAATGACAGACATGAAGGAGGTGGGAGGAGTTTGACATTTTTATTGCAATGAGGCCTACTGACACTTAGGAAAACGTTTTGACACATTCAAGTGTGAGCAACAAATCTGTCCACTGATTCATAAACCACATGTTTACTTAAAGAAGCCTGGTCCAATAAATGAGGATCAAAATTTCAAGTGCTTAAGTCCATAAAATTCCCTAAAGTGAAATAGTGTCAGCAGAACACATTTTGACCTTCTTAAGATGAGTAAAGATTTTCAAATAAATGCACAGCCTGCTTATATTATTCTCATTTCTATACAATTTGTTTTATTTTTTTGTATCTGTACCCTATTTTTTTTTAATTCTGAGAAGCCACAAATCAACTTTTCAATGTTTAAACTTGTATGAATATGTGAGTGCAGTACTCAGGTAACTAAGCCCTGACTACTTTTTGCAATTTTGACTTATATTTACCCAGAGCATGTCAGTATGCTTGTTTGGAAGCCCTATTCATTACAAAGGTTTATTTTTTTTTCTTGTTGTGCCACTCCTCACACACTCAAAGCTATATAAAATAATGATTCTACACATTTGCAAAGACCTAAAGGAAATGTTGGTGATCCTAAAACACATCACAGTCAGATGAAAGAAAACTGGTTCTGTATTTATTAAAAAGAGACGAGTTTCGTATTTCTTCAGGCTTCTAATGTGAGCTGTTAAGAATGGAAATCAAAGTCACTGTAACTATTAACACTTAAAAGTGAAGCAATGGATCATTACAGTTTCTTAAAATGGAAAACCTTCTCAAAACTGGATATTTCGAACCAACCTACCAGGCTCTTATGCTGGCCACCAGCATAGGCAACCTTTGTATGTTGGAGAAGGAGGGGGAGGAGGAATTCCTGTTAGCAGAGGGAAGTGAGCAGGAATGGTATAGGAGAAAAAGAAAAGAAAGAAATCTAACTCAACAACCTTGAAAAGTTAATTCGGAAACTTTCGTTAGTGACTTTGGACTTCATTAAACTCCATGTATCACTATAGCAGCATGATCTCAACAGTTTGAAAGGTATTTGTCATCAGCAAAAGAAAAACATTATTTTTAAAGGAGTAAAGAGATTGATGCATCACTATGGACTACTTAAGCCCCACGCAGTTTCAGTCTTTAGTATTAATCTAAACGTGATGGCTTTTACATACGGTGCATAATTAAACATTTTCTTTTCAGGGCTTTATAGAATCCCCATATGTTTTTAATGGCATCATCTGAATGTTTTTCTTAATAATTCTGGCAGCCTGCTCCCAAATCTTCATGTTTGTTTTTTGTTCCTAATATCTTTTCTACAGAGGCTGCATTGTGCCAGAGATTGAATAAAGCTCTGAGGGCCTATGGTTAGAGAAGACACACACACAGACACACACACTCACATTCTGCTTGCTCCTCTCTCTTTATTTGCAATCTGTATTGCTATTGGCACTGGAAAAAGATATGTGAGAGAGAGAAAGCAAGGAAAAAACACAGGAGCCTGGGTCACAGCTTCACTCCACCACTGTGATACGGGCTCTCTCTCTTCTTTGGTAGGACTTTGCTAACTGTGTCATCTGTCTGTCTATAGAAGTTTGATGTGCATACTTAGGCGTGTGCATGCCAGTGGGATGGGTTGACTTTGGCGGCTGCAACAAATGGTTTCCCTGACACTCTGGGGGTGAACGTGCCATGATTTGCTGACTCCATACCTACTGCCTCATGGGAACAGACTTCCTCCTTTCGAGCAGTGGTCTATTTTCTGAGCCAAACCCCTTCAGACATGACCCATAAAACGGAAATAATGAAATGTTCACCATTTGGCTTAGGCAAATTTTGAGTTGTAAATCAGAATCACTTCCATTTCAGATGATATAAATGTAACCCAATGATCAAACATATATACAAGAGAGGACATCGGGATACAATAATAAGCTGAGACTCTAATATCCATGTCTACCCAGGATTAAGTGCCCATAGTCTCAAACATAGAACATAAGAGCCTCTACTTGAAGAATGAGTAAATCAAAGAGAAGAATGTGCCCCATTGTTGTTCAAGTGTAGCTTGCATTTGCTTTATCCCAACATAAATTTAAATTCTGGAAATTGACAAAGATAATAAATAACTCACATTTGAATCATAAGTCTCCTTTAAATTGAGTGTTTGAACTCAGATCCAAGTTTCAAAACATAATATTTTTTTAAAAAGGAGTATTCTCACATTCTTTCCATATTTGTCATCTTGAAATCTGATGATGTGAATGAATAAAATGGAAATAGTAACTGAAACAGCTTCCTTATGCTACTTTCTTCATTGAACTTCATTTATTTACAGATGGCCAAGTGGCTGTAAAGGCATTTGAAACTCTCCTATTATTAAAAAGTTAGATTTATCAAAACTTTCAAAGAACTGGTTTGCGTTTCAGAATTCCACAGATGATGTGCCTTAAATAGAAACAACCACCCTGGAAAATCTTAAAACATTTGCAGGCAAACAAGAGCAGAAACAAGTTATCCAGGAAGGGGAATTCTATGGCTTTCTCTGGTACCTCTAACATTCGTTGTTGGAACTTGACTAAAACAACAAATAATCTTTAAGAGCATCTCTTAAATAAACAAAAACACTTTTTAAAAATCCAAACCTCACTTTTTTCCCATTTGAATTGCTGTAGGAGAATTTATAATGTGGCAAACACAGTTTTTTAAAAAAGGGAGGTTCTAGAAATAAAGTGATTGAATAAAAATTAAAAATAAGGCCTTTAAAAAAAATCAATTGACATTCCCTGAATCCAGACACCACTTCAGCTGCTGGGTCTCCTAGCCCCAGTCAAAGGAAGGAGCTGCCAGAGAATCAAAGCCACAGGGTCTAATAAGCTCACAATCCACCAGGGACTATCACATCAGAACTCCTACCAGCTGTGCAACCTTGGTTAAAACCCAGAAATACATTTCTTGAAAGGTTTTGAGTCATGAAAACCAGCAGGACAATAATAGTTTTGATCTTCTATCAACAATTTGATTGAGGGACCTTCCCCTATTCTTCCAGAGCAAACTGCATCCATGAAAATAGCTTGATGGTATCTCCACATTTGAAACAACTCTCCCGTTTAGCTTGCTAACAATTGCCAAGGCTTCCCATATCCATATCCTGTAGCATTTACCACCACAAGCCCAATACAAAGAAGCTGAAGTAACAGCCAGTTTGACATCCCCACTCCCCAGCATTTCAAAATTGGTTAGTAAGGATGAGATCCACCTGTAGATCTAAGAACAATTCCAAATCACAGCAACGAAGAATTTGAAAAGTCCTAAGCCAGGTGCTAGCTGGGCCTGATTTTCATGACTTTTCTTTGTTCGTTTGTTTTAGTAACTGAGTGCTAACCTCACCCCTTAGAATAAAGACCCAGCATGCCCAAAGCAAGTAAATAGATTCCCTGCTTTGTACTGGTCCAGCACCCAAGTTCCTCTGGGACTGGGCCTGCCTTCTCTTCATCTTCTTCCATGCAACCATTTGGAGGATATTGCCCCATGTCAGACACTGTGTTGGGCACTGGAGAGAAGAATTAGAATAAATAGGACACAGTCTCTGCTCTCAAATAACTCAAAGTAGAAAAAAGGACATACATATTTTAAGTACAGTACAATATGATAGGGGTTATAGCAGAGGCAGAAACAAATTGGTATGAAGAACAAACATGGGGATTGCTAACTCTGCTGGGGAAGAACCTAGAAAATTTCACAAAACAGGTGACATCCAAGGTAGCACTTAAGGCTATTCAAGTGGTAGAAAAAGCAGGGAGTACAGAAAGAAAGGCAAGGAGGGCTTTCTAAGAAGGGAGCACAGCACATAAGGCTGAGCAGAGGTTCCCAGTTGATGTTTACATGAATCACTTGGGGGTACTTCTTAAATTGCAAATTCCTGGGTGTTACTCACAGATTCTCTTTCTTTTGGTCTAACTCAAGGACCTGGAGTGTGCATCTTTAACAAGGAGGTAGATCTCAGGTTACACTTTAAAAAGCAACTGGCCAGGGTCATGAAAGCGCATTATGTGTTTGAGGGATGCAAAGCAATTTAGTATAAGTGGAGCATAGATTTGAGGGGTGAGAGGTGAACTGACAGAGCTGGTCAACCAGGTCCAAGAGGAATTATGGAGTCTCCCAGCCACCTATGAAGCCCTAAAAATGAGATTCCAGGAAGCTTCAGAGCCACCCTCAGAGCTGCACCAGGGCTTGGATCTAGTCTCTATAGCTGCAACCACTTGGGTGTCTGCCGCACTGGGGTGTCAGCAGGGTAGAGAGAGAGAGGAGGAGCGTAGACAGCCTAATGTTTCAATCCCAGTTCTGCTACTTACTGACTATAGACTTGGCAATTGATTAACCATCTTGGGCCTCAGTTCTTCCTCTGTGATGAGAATAATAACTCCAAAATGCCAAGGTCAGTCTAAAGGTTAAATGGTATAATGTCCATGTAATACCTATCTCAGTACTTTACTCATAGTAATAGTTTTAATAGTAAAAATATTACCTACCATTTATTGAAAATTCAGATAAGCAGCAAAAAAAAAAAATGATTTCAAATAGAGGGAGTCATGTTTTGCCTGCACGACAAAGATGTAGAATTTCGCCATGACTGAGCCTCTCCTGCAGGTTACCACACCTAAATGTCACCTAGCTGTCAGCACTTCAGATAGACAGACCCTTTGCCTATTTTCTAGTGTGGGTCCCATCCCTGATCATTAGCCTTTGTCTAGAGTTTAGAGCTCCCTGGTCTGACATACCTTCCCACCATCATCACCTGCAAACCTGACAGCTCTTCACCAGTTCTATATTTCCTGATCATACACAATACCAAACTATCTCAGTGCCATTATGACTTATAAGGGTTGGCACTGTTCCTGAATACAATTAATTTATCTGCCAAAGACACACTTAACTGTTTCATGAGGCTCCTGATCTCTCTAGCATAAACAAACCAATGCAGAGGAAGAGAAGCCCTGATACTGAGGATGGTGAATAACTTTATCCTGAATCCTTGTCTCCTCATTATATTAACAGTAACAAAACTCTAAATTTAAAGGATACTCTGGAGTTTCAAGATATCTTTTTCCACTGTCTCTCATATGACCCTCTCCATAACCTCATCAGAGAGGCAAGACATTTTTCCCCATTTTACACATGGAAAAATATTGAACCTCAGCGAAATTAAATGACTTAGTCACATGGCCATCAAACTACAAAGACCTGAACCCAGGCCTCCTAACTCCTGGTACAAGTGCGCTCCAATATTCTACATCTGCCACCTCTCATTTTCTGCTAAAATTGACCTTCAGCAGGAGAGTTAATGACTACTCATGGGTCCAAACCCTTCCACACAAATGGTTACAAGTCTTAAATCACATGAAAATAAAGCCTGTATAGCAGTAAAGCCTAAAAATAGCTTTATTAATCTACTTCTGAAGAAGGGATTAATTCTAAAAACATTACAGAACCAACTGGATTCCCTTTTGTACCAATTGGGAGCAGATTTGGAGCCACAGCTGGTCATCATGGTATAGGAGAAATAACAAGTTTTAGATCAAAAGGATCTGGGTTCACAATCCTGACTTAGCCACTCCGCTGGATGCATCATCTTGGGCAAGTTCCTAAAGTTTTGAGTCCAATTTTTTAATCCTTAAAGTGGTTTGATCACTTCTAAGCTCAAGTGTGATTATACAACAATAAACATCACAAGCCTAGCTTGGAAATCACATAGAGGCCCTTAGCAATTGTTATCCCACTTTCCCTAGACCAGTGTTACCAAACTTTAACATGCATGAGAGCTCGTTAAAACAGTTTGGTGAGCTGCCCCATGCTCAGAGTTTCTGATTCAGTGTGTCTGGGGTGGAACCTGAGAATCTGCACTTCTAACAAGTTCACTTGGGTAAGGCTGATGCTGATGCTGCTGGCCCAGGGATCACGCTTTGAGAACCACCACTCTCAAGCCAGACAAAGGTGTCATGCAGACATTGAAATAGAAATCACTGGCTAGAAATCTCTAACCTAGAATGGTGATGCTAAGCTACTGGGTGTCAATTGCTAACAAGCAATACCAGCTAGGAAAATAGAAGAGCAAAGACCCATAATCCTGACTCCTTCATGGACTTATCAGGGTCAGAGGATTCCATGCTAGATGAGCACTTTGTCTAAGACCCCTTATAATTAAGACGTTCAGAATTTCCGACTGAAGGACCTCCCAACTCCACTTCTGGGAACATGCTGCCTTATAAATAGCCTCTGAAAATCCCTGGGAGCACCTAGACCACTGCTTCTGTGAAATCCAGCATGAATCTAATTGAAGCTGCTTAATCGAACACCAAGTTGCCCTCAGTGTGATTTTTACATCGCTGGCTCCTCAGTTGCTTCCCCACCCGGCCCTACCCCACATGCACACACAAATATACTGAATCTGAGAGTCCTTCAGGAGTGCAATTAGGACAGTCATTTAAGAGATGCACCAGCAATACCTCATTTTTACACATAGACATTTTTCTGAAAGAGAATCATGGATTTTGCTTCTTAAAGGGAATAACAACAACAAAACCCCAGAAAATACGTTAACCCTATTTTATGAAGGTGGTATAGACAGTATATCCTCTTTTGTTTCTAGATATGAAGAATACATAAAAATGTGATGAACAGGCACTGGCATATATATCACCCTATTCTTGTGAAGAAATTTGTAATATATCTCTATTTTGCTGCAGCCGATGCCACTGAGTCATCAATTTCCACTGTATTATCCAATGTTCTGCTTGGTTGGAATATTAAGCAGCCATCAGATTTTGAACTTCACGTTTCCTCACATTTGGCCCTTCACTGATCAAGCTTTGTTTCTCTGTGATTATAGATATATATCAGACCCCGGAATCAACTTTCTTTGTTTTATCAAGACCTGGTGTGTAGTAATTCTGATTTATCATTTTTACAACAGTCTCTTCCCTGCGGGCTCCAGGTCGTGATGGTGGCATTGCTACGATTTATGGTGGGGACTGTTGACGGAAAATGTATGGTCTTTTTGATTTTCCTTCTTTCCAACACCTGGTTCTTATTTTCCCAACTCTAGCTTCTGCCATTTTAAGCATTATTTACCATTCGCTGAAATGCATGGGTCTATTTGGAGGGGGACGTGTAAGGTAAAGGATGAATTTTCACAGTTGGCTATGATTTTTTCCTCTTATCAATGACCCAGTGCTGATTTTTTTTTTTTTTTATTTCCTTATGTCGTTGGGGGCCTGGAGTTCATATTCATTTCTCACTTGCTTCTTCTTATCTGACACGACTTATTAGTTCTCTGAGAAGGAAAAAGAAAATGCAGGCTGGGTTAAGTTCCTCACAGAGGTTTTTGAATTCTGCCTGTGATTCACGCTGTAGGTGGTCACCTCCCTTTCCAACCTGGATAGGTTATTTATTACTTACTGAAGGCTCCTCTCTCTCCAAGTCCCAGAGCAAGGCTAATTTTCTTTAGAGTCTAAGAAGTTATTTCAGAATAACTTGGCAAAAGGAAGAGTTTTTAAAGCCTGATAGTAATCCATTTTATTTACCAATATTGAAGAAAATTGTAAAAGATGGGGATGAAATAAGTAAAGTTGCTCACACCTGAGAAATGTTTGATTTTTGAAGACTAACGTTTAGGTTTCCCTGCCAATGCAAATCAAAAACCAATCAAAGCTGTTTTTCTACCAGAGATACCTAGAGTGCTTCCACTGTTTTTTTGCCTCCTCTCCTGCACCCAGCAGATGCACTATGAATTTCTTATAAAAATTGATTTGTATTTCCTCTTTTAACCAAGGTTTCTTTTGTTAATCTGTATACTTTTCCAAGAGGCCACGTAGTTTGTGGTAGAATTCAAATAGGAAAAATACTTAACATCCCCTCCATCTGTCCTTCTACTCATTCCTAAAAATAGAAGTCAACTTTTCAGACTAAGATTTTTAAATAAAAAATTTGGGAAATTGGTCAATTACATATGCTCTGGTAGAGATAGCTAATAACCCCCTGGATAAAGCACCCAGACATACTGATTTTCCCAGGACAGTTCCTGTTTACGCTTAGTATCCCAGTGTAATCAGTGGTAGTGGCATCTTTCACTGTCATAAGTGTGTCATTTTGGATAAAAATTATGTGGTCATACTGTCCTGTATCCACTCCCCCCATTCTTCCTTTTATTAAAAAAAAACCCTACTGACTTTTATTTGACAGGACACTTGGCTACCCATGTAGAAACTGCATTTCCAGTTTTTCCTGCAGTCTGGTATGGCCAATTATTTACATAATGAGCAAACTCGTAGTGCTTACTATTTGCCAACCACTGTCTTAGGTCCTCTACCAACTAACACATGCAATCCTCATCCCATGAGCAAGGTGCTATTCTCCCCATCCCTATTTTACAGAGGAGGAAACTGAGGAACAAAAAGGCTAGACCACTTGTACAAGTGGGATGTGCTGGGATGAGCTGGGATGTGAACCCCAATGGTCTGACTCCAGAATCTGTGCTCTGAACCTGCTACCTCGGAGTGTGACCAAGTTTCAGCTGTGAGAGGAAGTTGCATGGGCAACCTCTCCATTTAGTCCCGAAAGGGAAATGTCGTTGTCCCCAGTTCTTTCCTTTCTCTTTCACTCAAGGAGGAACAGGGACTTGGTGCTGGTGAACGCAGAAACAACTCTCCAGGAGCTGGAGAAGCCACAGACAGAGGGATCTGAAACCTGGGCCAACTTTCCCTGAACTGCCTACCTCCCTCTATCTAAGCCGCTGCCAGCCTGTACCTTAACTAATATGCATCCACATCCCCACCTCACCAAGTCCCACTTGATGCGAAAGCCTAGGCACCCATTGGAGTCAGGCAATGGGAAGATATATGTGAATATTCTATTCCAGTATCAAAATCAATCCTCTTGACCAGAAACAGACATTCCATCCCATTGGCCCCAAGAGTCCTATTCATTCTAATAGTTGCTCCCATACCATTTTTGAGGGATATTTCACCCTAGTTCTATATTTAATTCTAGATACATAGAAAAAAAATCCATGAAAGGCAAACATGAAAGAAAATATAGGTAGAGACATGCAGCCTCAGCCCTTACTTTCAAATGTCTAGGTGCCACCTGGGCCTCTTCCCCATCCTAAAGTCGTTCCAGAGCAAAGCACTCAACACAAAGGCCTTCCTTTACCACTGTATGAAACAGAACTCTCTACCCTAGCCTTGTGGCATCCCCTTTTCTCTCTCCCCTCCTTCATTTTTCTCAGCAGCACTAACCACCACCTGATATATGTTAACTTCTTCCTTTATTTATAGCCTATCCCATCTGGATTATAATCTCACTGGAGAAGGAACTGTGTCTGCTTTGGTCACTGCTTTATCCCCAGCTCCTAACTGAGCCTGATATGTCGTAGGCACTCAATAAATATTGATTGAGCAAATGAATGGAGAATAAGCAGACTGTCAACAGCTGTAACTATGTGACTTTTGGGTTACTTAACCTCTCTGGGTCCCATGATAACAGTGTCTAATAGGGTTGTTGTGAGAATTAAAAGAGATCATATATGTCAAATATAGAAACTACCTTCCAGTACATGGAAGGCCCAATATCATGTTAAGAATAACAACTAATACAGTGCTCACTCTGTTCAGACTGTGCTATGCACTACTGTTTCATTTAATAACAGCCCATGTGTTTAGAATCACCCACCTTCTGGTACCATAACAGGAGTCCTGGTTCAGCCACCACTGAACCTTGTTCTGTGCCTTGCCTTGTTCTGTCCTCTTTCTGGGATTTCCTGAGACAAACCAGACAGCAATTTCCAGAGGTAGGACAAACCCCAACCTTCTTTAGTGAAACCCAGGTCAGGAGTTGCTAGAACTGGTCTTGCCTTTGATAAACACAGCAAAATAGTATTATTTTAGGATTAGGACCATATCTGGTGTAAAAGTTAGTGGATTTGGAGCTCTGTTTGTTAAATGTCTCTCCTTTTTTTTTTTTTTTTTTTTGGTATTCCTTTAAGATCAGCATTGGCATCTTCCCACTAATAACCTGGGGTATAGTCAACTTATTCTTTCTTTCTGGACGTTAATTCAGCAGACCCTGAATAGTACAAGCAGACCCTGAGACTGAATCCTATAATCTGGAACAAAGCTACTATGTCTGACACCTAGCTAGGTCATAAGACCTCTTTCCAAAAAAAAAAGAAAAAGAAAAAAATTAGTGGAGCTAGAGTTCTGAGGATAGCAGATGTTTAAAAAACAAAGTAGCAGGACAACTTCCAAAGGGGAAAATCCACACTCAAGCTCTGTGATATCTAACTGGCCACTTGCAATGGATAGGGTCTCCTTGCCCAACCTCATGCTTCAAGACCTCAGCTCCTTTTAATTTTAACACTTACCAAACTAGAAATGATCTAGAGGATAATGACAATAAATAGTAGCAGCAGGCACAAATTTGAGTGACTACCTTATACAGGAACTATGTGCCTGTAATTGATTTTTCTAACATTATTTTTCAATCTCACAATCCTAAAAGTAAGCTACTATTATTTTTGTTGTTCTTATTCCTATTTTATAGATGGGGAAACTGCAGCTCTGAGAAGTTGTTGCTAGCACCCAAGGCCCCACAACTACTGAGGGGCAAAATGAAAATTCTAATCCAGATCTTTGTAATTCCCATGCCTACACCCTCTCCACTGGATCTTCCAACATTTAGCCCCTTATAATTCCTATGGGCAGGACATTTCACACATATATTTCTGGACACTTCAATACTAAAATGTGAAAGAACTGTTCAAACTTTACCCAACAAGAAGAATTATTTCCCCATGGGACAGCCTCTGGAATGACTGTATGATTCCATTACTCATCCCACAAATGTACCTGCAGTTATAGTTTCATTCTGTGGAATGCTGGGGAACCCTGCCTGTATCTCTAGCATAGCCATTAGTATTAGAAATGTCTTACTAGTAAGCTCCTCTTTGTATTTTACCATGTATTGGGTGGCTATTTCAGAATGGGTCAAAAGCAAACAACTTTACCTTATTTCCCTGAACCTCAACGTACACATCCTCTGATTATACACCGGCCCAGATAAATGAAATCAGAGACATAAAAGTAGATTCATCCTGAAACTCCCTAATCTCATAAGTAGTTTTTGTTGACAAAAGTTTTTGTTAGTGAGGTTCCCCCTCAAAACCTGCCAATGTTATAATTGACAGGCTAAAGTTAGTGTATTCCAGGTCTGGACAATTTTAACGGTCATCCCCTTAGCCCTGGTTTAATATACAGTGCTGGAAAACAGGCCAGAAAGTGAGTATCTTAGATATACTGATATAGTACATGCAGCAGAACATTTAAAAAAAAAAAAAAACTTACCCAAGGAATTCAAATCCTATCACAAATGCCTTTTTCTTTTACTTTAAAAACAAAGTAAAAAAATAAAACTTGAGTACAAAGGTGGCCAGGCTTGGCTGACAGGGTTGATAATACTGGGATTTAACAACATGGTTGTTCACAACCTATAAACCTACTTCTATTAGTTTTATAATTATAAAACGATTACCCCCAAACTCTATAGAAGTATAACCTGTTGGAGGCTCTGGCTTCACATTTGCATTATCTGAGGGGATTTTTTAAAAAAATAATGATACCTGGGGTCCTACCCTTAGAAATTCTGACATAATTTGTCTGAGATGGGGTCTAGGCATCAGTGCTGGTTAAAAGCACCCCAGTTGATTCTAATGTGCAGCCAGTGCTGGAAGCCATTATTCTTGGCAACTCTCTATTGAGATTCAGCCACTTCTCTGTCCCCATCACATAGCTGTAACTTGCCTCCAGTCAAATAAAACTTCAGATAAAATCTCTTACTGCCGAATTTCTTTCTCTTTTATTCTAACTGGTGTGTTCAATTTTTGCCTAATTATTCACCTACTTTCTTCGGATTGGGCCCAAGGTATACTTTTTTTGTGACAACCCAAAATTCTCTCCACACTATGACAACACTAATTCATTGGATAATCCCTTAAAATATCACACCCACTTTTATTGTTCATAAATGGCAGGTTAGAGGGACATAGATTCACTTCTGACTGATGACTAAGTGAAAGCAAGTGACTACAAATTCCCTATCCTCAGTTTGCAAAACAGAGACTGTAATATTTAATATTTTTGAAATCTCAAAAAAACTATAGTACAACACAATCTGAATTCAAATCACAGTCTTCTGTCAACTGAATTCGAATCACAATCTGCTGTGTGACATTTAGCAAATCATGATCCCTCTCAGAGCCTATGCTTACTCAGCTACAAAGCAATGGATTTCTTCCTCCCAGAGTAGATGTTGAGGCTAGGATTCTCTTGTAATGTTGAAGAAGTTCTGTATCTAAAGTCAGGAGTAACTAACTACTGGTGAGTGCAGTGACATTAATCAGTTGGTGGTGCTTGAAACTATATTCTCTTGCCACCCACCAAAAGAGCCCTATTCAAATTTTGTTCAAAGCAAGAGAAGAATAGAGTTCTTACATTTCATAATCAGGGAAAAGTACCTTCACTCCTCCTTTGAAAGTCCTATATATGTACTTATAACACAGAGAAGACTCAAGTCCTGTAAATTAGACATTTATTTCAGAATTTGCATTTTCACTGAAATAAATATTTTATAGATTCCAAAAAAAAAAAAGAAATAGAGGGCACCTGAAACAACCTCTTCATTTATTCTTCTATATACATATGAAACTAGACTATCCAGGAAAATATAGAATAGCTCGTTGTTCTTTAAATATATTAGCAGATGGGTTTTAGCAACTTCACTTGATCTAAGGCTTCCATGGTGGATTTGTTGAGTAATCTTCACTCAAATCAACCCAAATTCTGATTGTGCTAGTTTCCTCTCAGAGGCCTATGATTCATTTGCCTGTGTATCCTCAAAAGATTTTATTAATACTAAAGAGCCCTGATTCCTTTAGGCCTTCCCCATAGGACCTCAACTTCTAAAATTTCCTTTGAACCTCCACCAAGCTCCACAAATTTCCTACCTCTGCCTTATGTTTTAGAGTCTCTTCTGAGCTCCAGGACAACTGCTTCTAAGACATCTCCTCCTGGACATCAAACTCAACATGTTCCTGCCATGCTATCCTCTTCCAGTGTCTGTCTATGTTCATAAATGTCACCACCACCCACTCATCTCCACAGTCAAATGTTCACCAAGAACTTTGTACCCTAAATATGTTGTGAATTCTTCCACTTCTTTCCATTTCCACTATCCCCAGTGCAAAGACTATTCTCTTTGGATACTATAACAGCTCCCAGCTGATCCCTCAAGATCCATGCTCTGCCCAGTAGCCAGAGTAATCTTTTAAAAACGTATATCAGACCACAGCACTTTCCTATATAAAACCCATCAGTGACTCCTCAGGGTCCTCATAATAAAGATCCATGTACTTAACAGGGCCTTCAAGATCCTGTGTGACAAAACCCCCTACCCTCTACAGTCAAATCAATAATCACAAGTATGCAACTATAGCTACATTAAGTGCTATGAAGAAAAATGAAGAGCTACAAGAGTGTAAAAAGAAGGACTCTGAAACTGCCTTCCTATTTTCCTCTGGTGGAGCTCTTTTTGCTTCATGGCTGAATCCTCCTCTGTTTGTCCCATAAATGTCTGCATGCCAGACTTCCGTCCTTATCACACTGCTCTTCTCATGTACGCTCTCTCTTCCTGTGCCAAGGACTCCCACATCTGAATCTTCAGGCCTCATTTTCCAGCTGCCTCTTGGATATCTCCCAGATGTTCTGTAGGCACCTAAAAGGGTGCATTCCCAACCAGATTAAATGTCTTTCTCCAATTCCTCTTCTGCTGTTACCTCTCACCATTCACCTGAACTAGAAAATAAACACCCCTGAGATTTTTTTCTCCCTTTCCCTCACTCCCACAACCAAGCAGGAGTTCTGGCATTCTGCCTTCTAAACATCTTGTAACTTGGCATGTTCTCCATGCCCAAATGCCACTACTTTTGTTCAGACATGTGTTATCTCTCCCCTGCATTAGGGCTGCAGTCTCTTCCCTGGATTTTTTGCCTCCAGTCTCCCCTAACTTTGATCATTTGCTTTGCTGCCACCATGTTCAATGTGGCCATGTCATGGCCCTGCTTAAAAGCTTCTAGTGCCTTTAAAATAAAGCCCACATTCATTAGCTTCATAATCAGATCCTGCCTATCTCTCCTCTTTTTTTTTCTTTTTCATTCATTCTTTTCACAAGTATTCACTGATCACCTACTATGTAGATGGAGCAGAAAACATTGCTACATTTATTAAGCCCATCCCCAGGTGCTGCAATATACCCACACATTTGGCCTCCAGTAACTTGAAATCTCATCATTTTCTGCACATTTCATGTTCTTTCAGGCTTTCATGTAATACCTCCATGGGCTGCAAGACTTTTCCTTCCTCTCAAACATATTTGTACTCCTTATAAAGACTCAACACTCAAATGTAACCTCCATGAAGCCTTGTGAGAGTTCCACAGGCAGAATTAGGCACACTCCTTGGCACATCAAACCACTTTGAACACATCTCTTCCACACATCTGTCTCCATCACTAAACTGGGAGCCCTTCAAGAGCAGGGTACCATCTTCTTCCAGTGCATATCCTGAATAAATGTTACTGATCATATGAATTTAAAAATAAATGAACCAATCCATTCTATTTCATCTTTGAGAGCAGCAGTCCACAAACTGTAATGTGCATTAGAATAAGCTGGGAGTCTTATTAAAATGCAAACCCTGATTTGGGGTGAGACCTGAGAATCTGTATTTCTAACAAACTCCCTGGGGATATTGGTGTGTGGGCCCTAGGACTATACTATGAGGGGCAATGTTTTAGAACTTGATCATGAAACACACAAAGGGAGATTAGTTGAGAACTGAGAACTGTTCTTGCAGAAATTGAACAAAAAATGGTTCAGTTTCACATCTTTTCTATCAAATATGCATGACATCTTGACAGCAACCACTTTCTGAAGTGCTAGAGAGAAAGAGTCATTGTTGTAACCCTTCCTCAGTTGGAAAGCCCACCCTTAGCTCTCCAGATCCTCTCAGAAGCCCTGACTGAAGCTGATTCACTAGCCTTGCTTGTTGCAGAAGCCCGATGCTGGCATTTGTTTCCAACTCTGCGCATGGCTCGAATGTGCTCCCTTGTCATCTACAGCATGGATGCAGGACCCCAAATTTCCCTGCCAAGAGTTGGTGGCCCAGGACGGCTCAGTGCCTCTTTCACCTTCCCTGTTCTAAGGCAACAGCCCTGGCTGCCATTCCGGATGCCCCTTTTCAAGCCGTCCTACCTCACTGAGCGAGGCCTTGGCACTGGCTCTGCTGCATTGTCCTGGCCAGCACACCTCTTATCAGCCCAGCATCCTCTGTGCTCTTGACAGTAGCCTGCAAAGACTCACAGAACTGCCCGAAAGGTGATCCCAGTTTTAGTTAAAACTTTTCCTACCCTCAGAATTCTGAGATGCTACTGGGGATTTACAAGTTGTTTTAAGGCTTTTTAAAAGACAAACCCACGGTATTTACATAGATATATGGGTCTGTGTAAAGTACTGTGCAGTTCTTTATAAAAGGTGTAGTATAAATGTTCTTGTATTACTAGAAGGATTATATAAAAGATGTTAAAACGTATTTCTACTAAGCAGTGCTATAGATGGCCACAGAATATAATGTATCCATTGTAAAGAAATCCCCACCAGAGACCTCTGAAATCTTACATTGATTGAGCTGTGCTGGACCTAAAACGCATTGAAAGTTTTCCAAGTGGTAAAATATTAAATATACTCTTTTTTAAAATATTTACCAGTTAAACACTAAAGTACTATAACTGGCTGACCTTTCACAGCAGTTTTTGTTCTACTTTTCCAAAAGCAGCCAAAAAGGGATTGTTTTCTTTTAATGTTTTGTTTTGTCTTCTAGAAAAAAAAAAAAGAACAGACTTATTTTGAGCAATACGACTCCCCCCTCCGCCTATGCAATAACATCATAATGGCAGAATAATCACTGTAAACAATGCCCTGGGGATTTAGTTGGCTACAACAGGGGACTCTAGGAGCCAATTTCAGTGCTTTTCTTAACTACATCATTGCATTTTTGTCTGCAAGTGGATAAGAAGAGTCTCCTTTTAGAGCAGGTTGATGGAAAGTGCTAATTGTTGACACATTAGCTAATTGTTATGATTAGCCCCTGACTTCTTTTTTATTCTGGAAGTCAAGATCTCAACTGTGAAGTATGAAGATGCTTTATGGCAACAATGTTATGAAAACATTCAAACAATGAGAGGCTAATCTTCAGAAGCATTCAATCCGGTGGCAACTAAACAGCCATGCCTTTAAAGAACAGACAACTAGCAGGAAAAAAAAATATCCTAACTGCTGCATCCACCCAATATTTCAGACATAAGTATTCTGGGGTTATCATTAATGATCTGTTTTTACAAATCTACTATGTCTTTGGAAAGTTGAAGCAACTCCAAACCAAATAAACCACACGCAAGCCATAATGGTCCACTGACAATTGAGGCAGCTTGGAATCTGTGATAATATGAACTTGTAAAGTGCCACAATTAGATGTTTCTCTATTTTCCGAAAGTCAACATGGGATATTTGAAATTGGGATCATTCTCAACCATAGTTCAACTTGAGAAAACAACTAGTTACGAATACCAAAATGTGCATTATTTTTTTAATATTTAGAGAAAAGGGAAAAAGAGGAAATCAAGTAGAGAGAGGAAATATCAAGAAACCAAATCACAGAGTCCAATTATTGGCTCTGGCCATTGAATGGGTCATTATTCCATGCCTTGTCCACCTGACTTATAAATGCAAGCAAATATTTATTATTTGATGTAGGAATACACTGGCTTCTTATAAAAAAAAGTATTTGAGACTGGGCACAGTGGCTCATGTCTGCAGTTCCAGCACTTTGGGAGGCCGAGGCAGAGGACGGCTTGAGGCTAGGAGTTCTAGACCAGGCCTGGGTAACATAGGAAGATCCTGTCTCTACAAAAAAGTTTAAAATTAGTTGGGCATGGTAGTATGTGCCTGTAGTCCTAGCTACTTGGGAGGCTGAAACCCAGGTGTTTAAGGTTACAGTGAGTTATGATCACACCACTACACTCCAGCCTGGGTGACACTTGCTCTGGGTGACAGAGCAAGACCCTATCTCTGGAGGGAAAAACATTATTTGACGAAATTTCAATTTAAAAGTAATTCCAGACAAATAATAAAATCAAAACACAATTCTAACATGATAAAATGTGTTCATTTTATATTTTAACAAATGGAGAAAGTACAGACAACATTCTTAAATTATTCTGTCTTATAATCTCCCTTATATAAGATAATTATATTTTACAATCCATCCATTAATCAGTATCTGTACATTTTCTTCCTACAGGGATATTTCCTTTAAACTTTAAGTATCTGCATACTTGAGGGGAAAAAATCAGTTTTCAATAAGCTGCTGTTTATTGATTTTTATTTATTTATTTATTTTGAGATGGAGTCTCACTCTGTGACCCAGGCTGGAATGCAGTGGCACAATCTTGGCTCACTGCAACCTCTGCCTCCTGGGTTCAAGTGATCCTCCTGCTTCAACCTCCCAAGTAGCTGGGATTACAGGCATGTGCCACCACACCCAGATAATTTTTTTGTATTTTTAGGAGAGACGGGGTTTCACCATGTTGGCCAGGCTGGTCTTGAACTCCTGACCTCAGAAGCTGCTCTTTATTTTGATTGTACATAGTTTGACTATTTTGAGTGACTTAACTGGTTACTAACTGGTTATCCCAGCTAGAATTGTTTACAAGGCTAAATGTGATACTAACTTAATGTGAGTAAAGCAGTGCCTGGCACATATGCACCCAATAAATGTTAGCTGCCATCATCATCATCATCAAAGTGACAAGTAACTGATTAAAAAGTCAGACTTTCATTTATAGAAAAAGGCATACTTCTTTGGGTATATACCCAGTAATGGTATTGCTGGGTCAAATGGTATTTCTGGTTCTAGATCTTTGAGGAATCGCCACACTGCCTTCCACAATGGTTGAACTAATTTACATTCCCACCAATGGTGTAAACGTGTTCCTATTTCTCCACAGCCTCACCAGCATCTGTTGTTTCTTGACTTTTTAATAAATTGCCATTCTACACATGAACACACATGTTTATTGCAGCACTATTTACAATAGCAAAGACGTGGAACCAACCCAAATTCCCATCAATGACAGACTGGATAAAGAAAAGGTGGTGCATATACACCATGGAATACTATGCAACCGTAAAAAAGAACGAGATCATGTCCTTTGCAGGCACATGGATGAAACTGGAAGCTATCATCTTCAGCAAACTAACACAGGAACAGAAAACCAAACACCACATGTTCTCACTCATAAGTGGGAGTTGAACAATGAGAACACATGGACACAGGGAGGGGAACAAAACACACCAGGGCCTGTCAGCAGGTGGTGGGCAAGGGGAGGAAGAGCATTAGGACAAATCCCTAATGCATGCAGGGCTTAAAACCTAGATGACAGGTTGATAGGTGCAGCAAACCACCATGGCACATGTATACCTATGTAACAAACCTGCACGTTCTGCACATGTATCCTGGAACTTAAAGTAAAATTTAAAAAAAATTTTTTTAATTAAAAAAAAGAAAATGGTATACGTGTTCCCAGGTTAAGGTAAGATGTAACACAGCATTGTACATGGAAGAAGGTATTATTTGTATCAGCTGCTAAATGTTTTTGTTGTTTGGGCATTGGTTTTTGTTTTCTGTTTTGTTTGTTTTGTTTTTTCGGTACCCCATGACCAGTCAATAGTTTGTTGAACATCTATTACATAATAGGCACTCTGCTACATGGCTTAGATTAGGGCTCTGTCTACATACACAAACTGAGCTGAAGTTTAAAAACCTAACAGAAACTGTAGTAGTCTCTCCTCAATTTAAACACCCCAGGGGTATAATCCTTAGCTCCTAAAGGGAGAATAAGGTTGGAATGAACAAAGGTAAGAGGGAAATCTTGGAAAGGATATATGCAAGCCCTTATAAAGGACTGAGCAATAAAAAATAAAGACAGTACACAAAACCAAGATAACAACATCAGTGAACTCTTTCTACCCTAAGTTTGTAATAATTAAATGAATAATAACTTTTTTCTCTCTTGTTAGAACCTCCTTAGGCTCTTTCTTCTCTACAGTTTCAACCGGATATTTCAAATTCACTTAGCTTTCTTTCAAAGATCACAATAAGAAGACATCTCTGTCCTGGTCCAGTCCTGCATCTGACATGAGTGCCACTCTGCCTGAGAGTCAATACTGATTCCCAAGTCTGTGCCAGAGACACAGCCTGAGGCACATCCCTTCCTCTTCCCTGACATGAATCTCTGCTGCCACTTGCTCTGACCATCCCTTTTGGTTTCCTGCCAAACCTCCTCCCCTGCTCTACAAAGCATGTGACTTCTCGCTTCTCTTCCCAATCTCTTTTTTTTTCTTTTTCTAATGGCCCTCAACAGGAATGATTTGAGATTTATATATGAAAACCAAAATTCTTCCCATAGTGAAAGTTATATTCAAAAGTAAAGCTTCATGTAAAGGAAGCGCTAGGTTGAAGAGAGATTACTGTAAGGGAACTAAATGAAGCTATTATTCTTTAATGTATTATTGAACTGAGCCAATAATTGGCTTTTTAGTTTAATTCAACTTGTTTTCCTACCAAAATATAGATTCTATGATCCTTTATTTCTAATTCTTTTAAAATTGTATATATAAGAGCCTAACTGTATCTTACTCTATATATGCTCTTCTGCAGTCGTGGCAATTCCTGTCTATCTCTTAATTTACCTTAAGTAAGAATAACACAGGAATAAAATCCCTGTATATGTTAACATATTTTCTAAAAATATATTAATGGCTTTCTTTACAACATGACTGTAAAATATACAATTTTCTATAAATATTCAAGTATGTGTTGGGATGGAAGGGGCTTTTAAAAGCACATATTATTGGTAGAAAAAGAGAAAAGTTAAAACTCACCTAAATCAACTCCCCTCACCTAACATATGAAGAAAGTAATATTTAAAGTGGTGAAGTGACTGGTCCAATGTACACATCTGACCTTGGCAGGCCCACAGAGTTTGCACATGCCCTGCCTCCTACGGAAAGAATAATGGCATGTGGCACTGGCCACTTCAAGATGCAGCTCTCCTGGTAGTGTGTTGGACTGTATCCAAACAACCCAAAACATGAGACAAGTTAGTACAAACTGGCTATTAGGTGTTCTACTTCCCCATCTCTAAAGAAAGAAAGAAAGAAAGAGAAAGGAAGGAAAAAAAATACAATACAATCTAGGTTTGTTATAAAAGTGTTTGTTTTTAACTCTACTTTTGAACTTTTTGAACTTTTCAAATTGGTTTCTGGTATGTACTATCTCCAAATCCAAAGGGGGTTCCTAGAGCTATCCAATATGTGATGGAGCTGTTGAAAGAACATGAATTCAACTATATTAATTATGACATATAGTCACAGTTCAATTACTTCCAACACAGTATAAATTTTTTATAAAGGCAGAAAAATAAAAATGGTCAACATCCTATTAAAGACTCTGTATTCTCAAAGATGGTCATGCTACCTGATATAGTTTGACTCTGTGTCCCCACCCAAATCTCATGTTGAATTGTAATCCCCAGTGTTGAGGGAGGAACTTGTTGGGAGGTGATTGGATCATGGGGTAGATTTCCCCCTTGCTGTTCTCATAATAGTGAGTTCTCATGAGATCCGGTTGTTGGAAAGTATGTGGCACTTCCCCCTTTGTGCTGTCTCGCTCTCTCTCTCCTGCTCCACCATGGTAAGATGTGCTTGCTTCCTCTTAGCCTTCTGCCATGATCGTAAGTTTCCTGAGGCCTCCCAGCAATGCTTCCTGTACAACCTATGGAACTGTGAGTCAATTAAACTTCTTTCCTCATAAATTACCCAGTCTCAGGTAGTTCTTTATAGTAGTGTGAGAATGGTCTAATACATTACCCATACATGCCATATGTGTGTATAAGCAGTGGTCATGTTCTCAGAAGAACAAGTATGGGCTTTGGAGGCAAACTAATCTGGGTTCATACTCCACCTCTGCCACTCTCTGACCTTCTTTGGGAAGTTATTTAATAGCTTTGACCCTATGTTATCATTGTAATGGATTGATTGGTGTCTCCCAAAAAGATATGTTCAAGTCCTAATTCCCAGTACCTGTGAATATACCATATTTGGAAATATAATCTTTGCCAATGTAATTAATTTAAGGATCTCAAGACTAGATCATCCTGGATTTAGGGTGGGCCCTAAATCCAATGACCAGGGCCCTTATAAGAGAAAGGGGAGGGCAACTGGAGACCAGAGATCCAGAGGGAAGGCCATGAGAAGGCAGAGGCAGAGACAGGAGTCATGCAGCCACAAGCCAGAGAATGCCAAGGGTTGCCAGCAGCCACCAAAAGCCATTAATAGGAGAGAAGCACACAATAGACTCGCCTCAGAGCCTCCAGGAGGGAACAAACTCTGCAAACACCTAGATTTTGGACGTCTGGCCTCCAGAACTTTATTTACTATTTTCTTTGATGGAGACATCAGTACCAATGTATTAAAGGCTTTCCAACCCAATTTCATTATCTTTTCCCCTTTCAGAAAAAATAAAATATATCGCTTATTAAAACATAAGAAACTAGACCTTACTCAAGTCTTAAATTAACTACTAACTAATGATTTGTCTACATATCAAAGGAAGTCACACACACACAAAAAAAAAGAAAGAAAAACTTTAAAAATACTGTGAAATTGATTTTGTGGTTTAAAAACCTAATTTGAAGTGGTTTATTTTTAGAATGCCACCTTTTTCTCTATTTACTTAATTCAGGAAGAACCCATGTGCAAGTAGACACAGCCAGATGGTTTGGCAGTGGTCTTTTTTCCTTTCATTCCCTTAATCTCCCACTTGCAAAGTAAAGAAAAGCAGCAGTCATAATTGGTTGGCCCTATATGATTCATAGGTACGCAATTAATAGCTGCAGCAAAGATAAAGCATTTTCAGTTTCTTGGAACACAAGCTCTAAAAAGTAAGAGGGAGCTAAAACCTTAACACTCTTTTACAGAAGGGAATAAACCTCCTGCAACATCTTCCTTGTTTTTTCCTTTATTCAGGCCGATAGTTTGATGACTTGAGAGGCATACTACAGTTCATGAAAGGGACAATAGAGAGGTCTGCATCCCCTTTGAATGCAGACGTGTAAATACTAGAGGAGATAAGGTAGATGTCCCTGCTTGCTGGAGCCCTCTCTCCATCATTCAGGCCAAAAGAACAGGAGGAGAGACAAGTGTGATTAATTAAGCTCTGTTTTATTCTGTGCTCCATTTTAGGTTATAGGTTTACATATGTTAGGCACTGGGTACTCTCATTAATTATAATAGGTACATGTCATTTTCTCCTTCTTACAAATGTGGTAACTGATACCTAGAGAGCTTAAATAACGTGGGTATTCCATAACTGGGCCATAAACACGTAAAACTGACATTTGTCTCTCTTTTTTTTTTTTTTTTTTTTGAGACGAAGTCTCACTCTGTTGCCTAAGCTGGAGTGCAGTGGCACGATCTCAGCTCACTGCAACCTCCGCCTCCCGGGTTCAAGTGATTCTCCTGCCTCAGCCTCCCGAGTAGCTGGGACTACAGGCGCATGCCACCACACCCAGCTAATTATTGTATTTTTAGTAGACAGGGTTACACCATGTTGGCCAGGCTGGTCTCAAACTCCTGACCTCAGGTAATCCACCCACCTTGGCCTCCCAAAGTGCTGGGATTACAGGTGTGAGTCACCGTGCCCGGCCGACACTTGTCTCTGTATAACTTCCCACTCCCACTTAAAAGAAAGGATTCAGGAGTGACCAAGAAACTTGAACGTGGTTGTTGATGTTTATTTGACCAAACAGCATTAAAGAGAGAGTTTCACTGTAAGTAAAGAAAAAAAAAAAAAAGCTTTCTGGACTTAAATCTGATTACAACACATTTTAAATCCACTGAAACTTATCCTGATACCAAAAGACAAGCTTTGCCTATGCCAGTTCTCAAAGCTTTGAAACCCTAGTCATGAAGCAGCAGGTGTGGACTGCCTTAGATTGTTCTGGGGGATAAACCACACTCCCCCAGTGCCACAGCTTGCCCAGGATTTTCCCTGTGTCCTCGATTCTTCATCTGCCTGAGGCCCACCTTCTTGGAGAAGGGACAGCACAGAAAAGATTACATGTCATTTTTTAAGGCCAAGTAAGGCCTAGTAGTTCAAATTAAAACCCAGATTTTCAGCATAGCTTTTCTGAAATAAGTGTTCCTGTGAGAATCACTAGCTCCTACATTGTTGCCTTGACCCTCATAGGCTTATGAGTGAGGAAGTCCTCTGGGATGTGGCGCTGTCCAGAAGCGGATTCAAAACTAATGTAAGAAATAGCTTTGACCTTTAGAGAGCTTGAAATCTAGTGGGCAGACACAGCAGTCTATTAGAAAGCAATTACAATTTAATCCTCACCATTCTGGCGCAACCTCTATCAGGAAAGGTGAGAAATCTCCATACGGATTGGAAAGATAAGGGGAAAATAAGGAGGAAAGGCTAGCTTGAGTTAGACTTTGAATGATGAGGAAGGGGATTTGAAGGATGAGGAGGGAAGGAATTAGGGTAAAGGAAGATAACTGTCATTGAAGAGAAAGTCATAAAAATTATTACAGTTATTACAGTTTCTTTGGCAGGCAGAGAAGGAAGGAAAAGTTGAACAAAACGAGCAAATGCAAAGTTATGTCTACTGGGTCTTTTTCCAGGCCAAGATACCCCATTCACATCCTGTACTTAACTCACTTCCACCTGGACAGGCTCCTGAAAGGTTAAAGGCTCATTTTACTCTCCACAAATACATTTGCCTAATTTTTACAGCCATTTACACAGCAGGTAAACAAACTTCTTGATCCAAGATGAAAACGTAATTGTCACCCATTTCAGTGAAGAAGTGAAAACAGTGGTTGAAAGTTACCAGCAGAGCATGAATATGAGAGCTTCTAGTGAAGTAACAGAACCAGGCTACGCCACAAGGAACTCAAGAGGTGTGCTGGTAAATTTCAGTGTTCTACATAAGAAAGCATTACCTGCTTGTGCTTAAGAAATATGCATTTCAGTGGGCAGCAACAGAACAAAATCCTTCAAAGTTTGTTTCTTCAACTAGACATCTGTGGATACAATTATATATACGATTTGCCACAGCTCACAAAATTTTATGATTACCTAGACCCCAAACCAAAGCAAGGTGGTAATTCTGTGAAAATGAAAGTTTCCATCAGATTTCTGTCATGGAAAACAAATGTGGTCTTTATAAATGAGAGACAGGTTCCCTTTCCTTTTTTTTTTTTTTTTTTTTTGAGACGGAGTCTCGCTCTGTCGCCCAGGCTGGAGTGCAGTGGCGGGATCTCGGCTCACTGCAAGCTCCGCCTCCCGGGTTCACGCCATTCTCCTGCCTCAGCCTCCCAAGTAGCTGGGACTACAGGCGCCCGCCACTACGCCCGGCTAATTTTTTGTATTTTTAGTAGAGACGGGGTTTCACCGTTTTAGCCGGGATGGTCTCGATCTCCTGACCTCGTGATCCGCCCGCCTCGGCCTCCCAAAGTGCTGCCCTTTCCTTTTTAAGTGATGTCTGTGGTGGAGAGGAAAGCCACTGTCAGTCATGAAACGAGTTGACAATTGATTACACCTAAATAATCCACTGACTTGAGAGTCTCTTGATCCTGTATATCCTGGCTTCCTATCTGCTGTCTACTTCTATGTGCACCATCCATCCAGCCCTCCAGGTCTTAACACATCTAGTACCCCATTAAGAGTCTTTCCTAAATGTCCAGTGGTGATATCCAAAAGAGAAGACAAGTAATAAAAGAAGAAAACAAATATCTACACTTTAAAAAAAAAAAAAGTCAACTTGAAATGCCAAAAATTCTCATCCACTCCTCAGAATCAGAAACTATGTTTCATTTGTCTTGGTTTACGCAGTGCCCATCACAGGGGCTGAGACAAATACTCTGAAGTGTTTGTGAACAACTGAGAGTCTTTTCTAGGAATATTGGAATCAAATGACTTCTCTTTCATTTCCAATCAAGCAAGGTCAAATTAATATTCAAATATTGTACCTTAAATATTTGGGAATGATGCAGCTCACTTTTCAAGACACTTTGGCACTTTTTCAAAAAGTTAAATATAGAGTTACTATGTTACCCAACAATTTCACAGCTAGGTCCACAGCTAGCAGAACTGAAAACATATGCCCACATAAAACTTGTTCACAAATATTCACAGCACTATTATTTATAATAGCTAGAAAATGGAAACAATACAAATGTCACTCAATGAATAATGAATAAACAAAATGTGGTATATCCATGCAATGGAAAATTATTCAGCCATAAAAAGGAATAGAGTTCTGACACATGCTGCAATATGGATGAATCTTGAAAGCATTAGGCTTTCAAGTAAAAGAGACCCAAAATGCTACATACTGTGTGATTGCATTTATCTGAAATGTCCAGAATAGGCAAATCCACTGGGACAGAAAGTAGATTAGGGAGGGATAATGAGAAGTAACTGCTAACAGGTAAAGGCTTCTTTTTAGGAGATGAAAATGTTCTGGAATCAGACAGTGGTAATGCTTATACAACTTTGTGAATATACTAAAAACCATGAAATTGTATACTTTAAAAAGGTATTTTATGGTATGTCAATTATATCACAATAAAAAGAAATTTGAGAAACCTCTTGGTGAAGAAATCGTAGTCAGGATTTATGTTTAGTTCTTCAGGTGTGATGAAAACTATTAATAGTCTATGCATTCTTTTTTTCTTTGTCAATAGATATTTTGATAACATCATCAAAATTCTTATACCTACAAAAGCCCTTTGGCCATTTATTATATAATTAATCACTTTAAAATAGCAAGAGTAATAATAATAATAGCAACTAACATTTATTGAATACTTACTATACATTGGTCACTGTTCTAAATTCTTTGCATGTATTAACTCCTAAAAGAGTTAAAAGAACAACTCTATAAGGTGAGTACTATTCTTCTCTCTATTTAATATAGGAGGAAACTGAGGCACAGAGAGCTTACCACAGTCACACAGCTAGTTAGTGGTGGAGCCAGGATCCAAGCCGACACAGCCTGGTCCAAAGCTGACACTCTTAACCACCATTCAATCCACCTTTAATGCAAATAGGAAAAGGGTTAGTGTTGTAGAAAGAGTGCTGGGTGAGTCACTGCAGGCCCAAATCCAGAGACTGGTCTATGTTTTGCCACTTGCAAGCTCTGTAAGACCAGTATTTCCTTCTAGCCTGCTCCTCCTGATTTTTAAAGTGAGGAAGTGGGGCGGTGCCATCCCTAAGTCCCCAGTCACTTTGAATCTCCATGATTCTGTAACTAAATCATGATACAGCAAGCAAACCAAAAAAATGCCAAGGTAAATATCCTATCATTAGTGTGTTGTGCACATCAGAAACCTTAAACTTATAATATTTTATAGACAACAAGTAGGAATTTTAGGATTAAATAACTGAAATGACCTCAGAGGTTAAAGGACAAGGTCAGCTACCAGGTACTTTTTTCAAAGACAAAAAAAAAAAGAAAATTCTGTTCATTCTACCTTAGACTCAAGAAATCATTCCTTACATGATTTTTTTCCTGAAATGCAATTTCATGATATCTCATTCAATCCTCAACAAATAAATATCAAAATCCTCCTATGTGCCAGGCATTTTTGAGGCATTAAGAATAGAATTTTTAAAAAATAAAGCATAAAAAAGGGGGGTTCTGTTCATTTTAGAAGGGGATAATAAGCAAATCAATAAACATGATAATTTCAGATAGTGATAAGTGCTAAAAAAAGAAAATAAAGCAGGATGGTATGATAGTAATTGGTTGCTTTAGTATCTGCTAAAACTGAAGCTACTGTACAGCAGAAATTTTTGTCTATTTTGCTCATTATGTCCCAAGTACCTATAAGAGCATTTGAATGAATTAGCAAGAGATAAGTAAATGGCACTCTTTACATTGTGGCAGGGACTGCTAGCTAATCACTAAGTCAGTTTCTACCTTTTCCTGGGCTCATAGGTAGATTATATGTATTAGCTTGCCACAATTTCCATTACAAAATACTTCACATGGGGTGGCTTAAACAACAGAAATTTATTTTCTCACAGTTCCAGATGCTAGAAGTCCAGGATGAAGGTGTTCGCAGGTTTGGTGTCTCCTGCGGCCTCTCTTATTGGCTTGCAGATGATCACTTTCTCTCTGTGTCCTCATGTGGTCTATTCTCTGTGTGTACACACATCTCTGGTGTCTCTCTCTATGTGTCCTAATTGTCTTTTCTTATAAGGACATCAGTCAGATCGGATTAAGGTCCACCCTAATGGCCTCTTTTTAGCTTAATTCCCTCTTTAAAGGCCTATCTCCAAATACAGTCATATTCTGAGAGTACTGGAGGTTACGGCTTCAATATATGAATTTGGCCAGGGTTGCTGGGGAGGGCGGGGAGGGTCACAATTCAGTCCTAACACTACATTTCCCAGCCTCCCTTGCATTTAGGTGGAAAGCAGTCATAAGGCTACAGCCAGTGGCATCTGAATAGAAGAAATGTGTGCCACTTCCTGGCCAGCTCCATAGAAACCTCATGGCCTTCCATGCTGTTTCCCCATCTGCTGGCAGGATATTGACCCCCGTGATGATGTTAGAAGCCTCATGGTAAAAGTGACAAAGCCTGGGTCCCTGAAAATAGTGGGGCAGAACTTACAACTGTACCATTGACAGAGGCCTACATCAGACCACTATATGAGGGAAAAAATGAACACGTGCTGAGATTTGCTTATTACAGCAGTTCGCCTACATTAAACAACATCACTTCAATTATGCCTTCAGAGCTCCTAGTCTTCCCCAAAAGCTTTCTGTTATTCAAGTTAAAGAGTTTTCAATTTTTAAAAAAGATTTCCTCACAGGACTATGATTTCATTTTTTAAAGTCCTCTCTTCCTATTCTCTTTACTTTCAGCGTAAAATACAGGCAAAGTTATCCAAAACCAGGCAGAGGTCTTTTAGTGTAAGTTTTCACTGTTAAAGATTGGCACATCACAGATGAAAGTTAAAAATAATATATTACTTATCATGAGATAATGCAAGGACATAAAAACCAGAGATTCCCAATATTCTTAAACCCATAGTTTCAACCTCACAAAAACTAAGCCTGTATGGGCCAACTCAGGGTTGCCAGCTGCTGCTGTGGTTCATATACTAAAAATAACAGGGCACCAAGGAGCAGCTAGTCAGGCTGAATCTGGGCTGCAGTCCTCCCTGGACCAGGAACAACAAACAAGGTGAAGGAGGTAATAGGGGGTTGGGGGCACCAGTCTTCGCTGCAGTGATCCCGAGAGCAATGGGGAATCCAAAAATAAACATTGGTTGACTCCAGTGCCCTTGAACAAGTATGCAAGTCACTGAATAACAGAGCCAGCTAATCTAAATGCCAATCTAAACTTCTCCTGAGCTGCTAATGCAGGTGGCCAGATCTTTAACTTCTAAATAAGTTTACCAGAAGAGGTATGATGATTTTATGTCATTTATATTTCTAACAGATGCATCTGACCCATTCCAAAATATCTAAAATTTTCTTTTAGGGGCCCAGAAATATAATTCACAGCTTGAGTGATGAAATACAAGCAGCAGCCTGCCTATTTGTTCCTTCCTTCCTTCATGTCTTCATTCATTCATTCATTCAACATTATTATTTATACCTAATATGGGCCAGGCACTCTGCTAAGGACTAGGGATACATGGCTAGTAGAATCTAGTCTTTTCCCTCGGGGATTTCACAGTCTGAGAAGGAAAGCACATAGAAAAATGTGATAATTGTTATATAGGCATTTTGGCAAGGAAGGCAGAGAAGGAAATGGCCAGCCCCCCGCCAATGGAGAATAAAGATGAAAACAGAAATACTCCCAAGACCCCCAAATAAGTATCTATTACAGAGACTTCCTCTACACTTGGTTACAAAAGAAAGAAGCTTTAATCCAAACAGGGGTCTAACAATGTAAAATAATTGCACTGTAGGCCTAAAACCATGAAGGAAAAAATCAAGTCTCAAAGGAGAAAGGCCTGAACATCTTGAATGCCCAGCCTGACCTTGTCTGTGTCCTGTTCTCAGAAGGTGTCTCCCAAGTTTTCGAGGTACCATTTTTCTCTGGTTACCTCCAGCTCCCAAGAGTCTCACTAAAATACAAAACACATCCTTTAATATGGCCCTACTTCCTGGGCTCCTTAAACATACTTTAATACCTGTTGGAACATATCGTATAAAAGCAATTCATCACTTATCTTCTCCCAACACGCAGCCTGTGTCTTCACCCTGGCGGACTGGCATTTTAAAGTCAGTGGCATCTAAACGATCTCTGAAAACTGAGCTTTTTAAAACAAAATAAAATGGGGGACTAAGTCATGAACATCAGTGGTCTAAACCTTATGTACTTTTTGTTTTATTTCATATTTTAACTAGATTTACTTACAGCAAGCATCTTTTGTAGTTGAGAAAATGTGGATTGTAAGTGGAGTTCTTTTTGGTTAGTGAAATGACAAGTTCTTTAAACTCCTTTCAAAAGAGAGACCAGGTCTCAGATTGAGGATGTCATGTACAATAGTCTTTTCCCCTTGTAACTTTCCTTTGATGGCCAATTAAAGCTACTTATTCCTACAACAAGGACATGTATTTTGTGGGAACAGAACTGAAGCCAGCACCTTAATCTCATGTAATTCCACTGAATGACTTTATTTCCTCCCCAGGCTGACTCGGGGCTCCCACCAGTGGATGGTGGTGGTGGTAGTGATGTTTTGAATACGACCCTCTGATCTACTGGATTTGGGCTGAGAAAGATACTTGAATGACTTTGTTGAAGGTGAAGTAAAGGGGAACCAAATTTCTGTAATGAAATATTTCAAGCAGATCTTCATAATATCTTGAGTCATTGGGTAACTGAACAAAATTTACTGAAAGGGGTTGTGGTAGCCAGACTCTTAAGATAGCACCAGTGATCCCCACCTCCTGGTTGTCCCACCCCTGCGTCATCCCCTCCTACTGAGTGTGAGCTGGATTCAGTGACTCAATTCTAACAAGGAAAATAAAGAGAAGTGTCAGTGTGTGACCCAGAGACAAGGTCATAAAAAGCAGCATGTGTCCACACACATCACTCCCTTGAGGGGAGGCCAGCTGCCATGTCATGACAGCCCTATAGAGACACCCAAGTGGCAAGGAACTGAGGGCTTCTGTGAATGAGCTTGGAAGCATATGTTCCCCAGCCTTCACATGACGGTAGTCCCCAGCAATATCTGGATTGCAACCCTGGAAGAAACCCTACGCTACAACCACACTGTTATGCCAGCTCCCAGATTCCTGACCCGTAGAATCTAAAAAATAAAAAATAAAAAATTTTATTGTTTAAAGCTGTAAATTTAGGGAAAATTTGTCACACAGCAATAATTAGTACAGGGGCTAAAAGTATCCACTCCCAGGACATGGTGTAAGGAGTGCCAAGAATGTGCCCAGATCTACACAATTACAACCCCACCTCATTGCTCTCAGGCCGGAAATGCTGCAAGTCCTGTCTTAAATATGTATTCAATCACTCATAGAGTATACATTGGGTGCCCTCTGTGTACAGTCAGGGTACCTAATGTTACAGATAGCAAGGGAATGTGCCCCTTCTGAAATCCTATGTTCCCTCCCCTGAAGAATCAACCAGCTTTCCTGTCAAAAGCAGTTTTTAAGGCCACTAAAAACTGAAGCTAACCATTGAGCTGAGTCCAGGGCCTCCTATTAAAAGGAAAAAAAAGGGAACTTCATGGAATGTAGTCACCACCCCACCCTCATAGTTCCCCCTAAATTTAAATAGAAACACTTCACTCTACCCTCTTAAAATTAAGTATTCACACAAAGCAGACACTGGAGCATAAAATATCTTTTTACTTCACCAATTTGAACACCAGAGATTTGCCTTAAAGGGCCAGGCAACCTGAAGCTTTTCAACAAAAACAACTCGTGGAATACTGGAGGCAGATGATATTTCATCTTAAGCATCAGGTATATTGTCTACACCATCAGAGATTCTCAAAGGATTAGTACTAAATAGTGCCTATTATTATATTAATGATAAACCATTTGCATATCACTAACAAGTTTCACCCAGGTAGGGCTAATCCCTCAGTTTATTTTGTTTGTAGATCAGCCAACAGGTTCCTTATTCACTGTAGGCAAGGCAAGAAACACACTTTTTCTTCAACCTAGTTGGTTGGACCAAATGTTTACATATACACATTTATCCCCACCATTATAACCATCATGCAGCTTCTAGGACAATAATACTATTTCTTACATAAAAATATTAACTAGAAAGGCTTTCAATTAGCCAAATGTAATAACAAACAGATATGTACTTAAGGCTTGGCTACTGTGAAATGAAGTTATAAGCTAGTGAAATGAAGTCATAAGCTGGTCATACAAATACATATTTTTCAATAACAGGATTTTTTAAAAGATTTTTTAAAATAATTCATACCTTTGTTGATTCCACTTGTGCCATTTGCAATTTAACATCAGAAAATAATCATTCCAAATGGTTCTCCCTGCTATGATTCACCACGGTGAATGATTCTGCCACTCACAGCAAATCAGAGAATGGTTTGGAATGGCTTATTTTCCTGCTCCAATAAACTATGACTAGGCATTCAGCAGATTTTTCTTTTGTTTCTTATTATTTTGCAGAGTCGAGAAAAATATGAAAAATAAAAGAAATAACTGAATGGCCCACTGCTTTCAAAACGTATTTAGTCTTGCTCACTTATGTCAAATCTATTATAATTCACCTCCATCCTGCTGTTTTTCTAGTGTTTTCCATATCATGGAACCCTCACCAGTAGACGCCCATTCTCTTTCGGACCCCAAGGCATGGCTTACCTTTTCCTATAAAACTCTAAGTGCTCACTGCCAAAATAGATGTGTGTGATAAAATTAAAGTATTTCACTGGCCTTTGGTTCTGGAAATAATTGGCACAAATCTCCTTTGTTGCATTAATTGTATATCATTGTTTATCCAGCGAGTATCTCAGCACCCACTTAGCCATCTGGGCCTCAGCCCAGAAAACTGACTTACATGAAATAACAATGAGGCCTTTTGACAGTTTTCAATACACTGCTTTAATAATTTTTTCAATTGTATACTTTTCCTGATTCAGGAGTCTAAAATCAGTAACTACAAAGAAACAGCTGCTACAATTCTCTTTATCCTCCTACTCTCATCCTTAAGATTCCAGGAATCATCGGTCAGAAGTATTCAACTTACCAATGCTTAAACCTTTGGGAAAAAAGCATCTAGATTCCCTCTCAACCCCAGACATCTAGAAAAAAACAATAATGAATGATGATAGACCCAGTCAGAGAGAACTATCTTCTCATCATTTTTCATGCTAATGTATAAAGTTACTGATATTCTACAATCCTCTGTCTTCTCAAAGCATCTACACACACACACACTATACACACACACGCGCACACACACACACACACACACAAGTATGCATACCCAGAATCTCCTAAGCTAGGACTGCCAACAACCCACTAGCAGGGGCGAAGTTTGGATGCCAAAAGACATTGTATTGTCAAAGCTAGAGTTACATGAGGTACACTTTGCATAGAAATAATGTTATAAATGAAGATCATATAAACTTGGTTTATCTATTTAATTTATATCACTTTTCATAGCCGGGCTCTATATTCTTGACTGGGTGAAGATATAAATGAACTAGTGGGCTCCAAACTGTCTTGGTCAAACAATACATTAAAAATTATCATGAGCATATTCATCATGTATGTGTGTGTGTATGTATTTACAAATTATATAGGTATTCTGCTGTGATGCAAACTCACAAAAAATAATACTAGGATAAGAAAGAAATAATATACATAGGCATTCTACTATACGTCTGTAAACTCCACACCTGCACACCTCCTGGGGTGTACACTTTCCATTTTGAAGCTCCAGTGATATACCATGTTCTGCCCTTTAACAGTTATTTGTTTGGTGGGTGAAAACAATATATCTGCCACTTTTATGCAGCATTTTATACTTCATAAAGCATTTCATACACATTATCTAAAATAGTCCTCACAAACACCTTCTCCTCATTTTATAGACTAGGAATTTAAGTAACGTAAGTGCCTAAGATCACCCAAATGGACTGTGGCTAAACTAGATTTGAAACCAGGGCGATACTACAGATATACGACAGATTAAATGGGTTTTTATGTGCCAGTCTGGAAACCACACCACCACTTACAATATTACTTCCAAGGGAAAATGCTTTCTGAGTTCTAATTAACTGACTTGTAAAGGAACTTTTCGAATATAGGTCATACATTCAGGACTAGATGTATTACATATTTTCAAATAAATGTTTTTTTCATACAGGATAATCTGAAACTTTTATTATACCACTAATGCCAAAAAGTAAATCATATAAACATAAAAGCCCTACCAAGCAGTGCTGAGATGCCCATGTTCTATAAGACAGTCACCCAATGCTCAGGGCAGCATTTCTACCTTTACTTGTATAACCAATTTCATGTCCCGAAATTAATGAACCACATTCCCTTATAAGTGTTTAAGAATCAGTAAAATTTTATTTATAATTATTAAGCTTGTAAGTGTTATGCTTTAGCTCTGGAAAATTATCTTTTTCTTTTAAAGCCAAAAAGTTGCAAATGCAAGAAAGAAAATGCCTGTAATGAATGGTGCTTTGGGTCAGAAAGGTGACTAGAGAAACCAAAGTATTTTTGTTTTCCCTCTGCCAAAGGTGACTTAGATACTTAGACTTATGCTGGACTCCCTTGAGTCTTCTTGAACCCTGCTTTCTTAGATTGCCAGCATTGATTAAGTAATATTTTTACTTTTAATATTTAACAATGCATTTTACTTTATAAAAAATTTATATCCCCTTTGGCCCATAACCTGACTTCTGTGAACTTAATCTAAGAAAATAATATAAAATTATCAAAACATTTTAGACAGAAAGTATTTCTTCATAATGTTACTTACAAATTGAAAATTTAAAAGCAACTTGAATGTTTAACAATAAATGACAGAAATACTCAATGATATAGCATACTTCTGTTTAAAATGATGGCTACAAAAGCCATACAGAAGCATCAAAAAATAAATTTAGATATATTAATTGATAAAAGCAGGATATAGACCATGTGTGCATTATACTTACAATGACAATAATATCATAGGAAAAAAACAGACTAGCAGCAAATGGGCCTAAATGAATCAATGTTTTGGTTAAAGATAGTAGAATTTTGGGTGACTTTTTTTTCTATATTTTCTAATTTTCTCTGAGGTGGGTATTTTTATAACTAAAAAGAGGTTTCTACAAACGGCATCTGATGATTTATAAGGAATTTCTACAAATCAATAAGAAAAATATAAATATCTCTAATCAAAACTAGGGAAATATGAACAAACAATTCAGAAAAGGAAATCCAAATGGTAATAAAATGAAAAGAGGTTCAATCTTCTCTAGTAATCAGAAAAATTTTAATTAAATTAAAATAATAAAATATAATTCCATGTCATAATATTAACAAAAATTTAAAAGTTTTATAATTTTCGATGTAAGGGTATATGAATATTGGAGCTTTCATACACAGTAAGTAAGAGTAAAAATTTGTACAATCACTTTGGAGACTAACCTGGTAACATCTAATAAAGCACATAAGAGTCACAACAATGTTCATTGTGACATTATTGATAATAGTAAAAAGTTTAAAATGACATGCATTTCTAGCAATAGGGAAATAGATAAATAAATCATGATATTTTCATATGATGAAATATTATAAAGCAATAAAAATGAAAGAATTTGACCTATATGGAACATCACAGATAAATCACAAAAGCATACTGTTGATAAGGGAAAGAAGATCAGGATAATATAAACAGTTGGTCCCATTTAAATAAAGTTTTAAAGCATACAAAACAATGCTATTTTATAACTACATATGTTATAGCAGTAGTGTAAAAATATGCATGGGATAGCTAAACACCAAATTCACGATAATGACAACTTTGGAAAGGAAGAAAAACAAATGGGATTCGGGGTTGTGAATCCAGAGGACCTAAGTTCTAATCTGTAATGTAAAACACACACCACACACAGGCACGCACACTTAATCCATCTGAAGCAAGATTAGCAAAGGATTATTAAAGACAACTGAATGCGTATTTGCAGATACATAGGTGTCCATTATTTAGTCTTTTTTTCTTAATATTTAACATAAAACATTGTAAAGAAACAATGAGCACCTAGGCTGGGCATGTGTGCTCACACCTGTAATCCTAGCACTTTGGGAGGCCTAAGAGGGCAGATCACTTGAGACCAGGAGTTCAAGACCAGTCTGGCCAACATGGTGAAATCCCATCTCTACTAAAAATACAAAAATTAGCCCGGCATGGTGGTGTGTGCCTATAGTCCCAGCTACTTGGGAGGCTGAGGCAGGAGAATCGCTTGAACCTGGGAGGTGGAGGTTGCAGTGAGCCGAGATTGCTCCACTGCACTCCAGCCTGGGTGACAGAGCAATACTCAAAAAAAAAAAAAAAAAAAAAAAGGAAAGAAAGAAAGAAAAAAAAAAGATAGAAAAAGAAACAATGAGCACCTAAAACATTCTTTATTGGAAACAATAAAATTCTCTTGCAAGGGTCCAGAATCTTATCTCTAAACAAAATAAACAGAGTGCTCTCAATGAAATAAACAGTGGTTAGAACTGAGATAGATTCATAGAGGATGATCTAGGTAAGTAAAGTCGTTTGCAGTCTCTCCGGTCCTGCTTCTACTTGCTGTGAGGTGTGGCATGTTAGAAATGTTGTTTCTGCCTTCATATTTGGCTGGGGAAGTGGGGCAGGGAGACAACCCAAAAAAGATTGCAGCGTATTATGGTGGAGGGGCTCACCCTCAAAAAACTCCGACGCCGCAGTTTAAAGTGCTTCAGCTACGTGTATTGATGTTTAATTGTGTAGCAACATGAATTTGGTGTCTTAACCTTTCCGCCTCCTGGAAGATATTGAGTTATCCAACCCACAAAACCCTGGAGACTCTCAAGGCTTCCCAAAACCCCAAACTCTCCAGAAAGGAGCCATGCTTGGAAGGACTAGTGAATTTCATGTCTGTGAAAAGCCATCTTCAACAGTCTGGGGGGCTGCTTATCACATAGAAATGCTGGTAGGGGGCTGGGTGCAGTGGCTCATGCCTGTAATCCCAGCACTTTGGGAGGCCAAGGCGGGTAGATCACCTGAGGTCAAGAGTTCAAGACCAGCCTGGCCAACATAGTGAAACCCCATCTCTACTAAAAATACAAAAAAATTAGCCAGGCGTGGTGGCAGGCACCTATAATCCCAGCTACTTGGGAGGCTGAGGCAGGAGAATTGCTTGAACCCAGGAGGTGGAGGTTGCACTGAGCCAAGACCATGCCATTGCACTCCAGCCTGGGTGACAAGAAAAAAGCTCCATCTCAAAAAAAAAAAAAAAAAAAATGCTGATAAGGAAGAAGAGATGATTGCTTTGAAAGGGGTCACATTCTAAGTCTGTTCTTGGAGGCAATGATTATTCTTTTGTTCCAGCAGAGGGTGCACCCTGGCAGACAAGTCAGAATCCTATGGTAATTGGCATGCAAAGAGACATCACCAGCAGACTGCTCTGCCCTGGAGAACAGGCATGGGGGTGAGCAGGTTCATAAAACCAACTCCACCTTCTCAGGCCAACACTACCACCATGTACAACTGTAACTGGCCTGCGCCATCTCCAAAAACTAAAGCAGCAGGTTTATTCATTGAAACTTAAATCCACATAATAGAAAACTTTGATATTGACATATCCCATGTTTTGATCTACTATTCCCTTGAAAACATCTTTTGTGAACAAATATCCCAAAACAGTCAAGCCCAACCAGCCTGAAATGTGTGTTGTTTGACCTTTTGGCCATCTAGTCTGCATCTGGAGGTAAATTTGGAAAGTGGAGCAAATCTACTGAAAGATTGACCCTCCTCCTTCCTGAATATCCCGGAAGCTTTTTGGAATTCAACTTGCAAGTCATGCTTCATTCGAGGAACTTGATTATAATAGTTCCGGTGTGAAGGGTGCTGGACAGGACACTACGCGGACATCAGGCATAGCGATTCACACATTCCTCTACAAAGAGCTTCAGGTGTTTTTAGAACAAAATGAAAGAAAATGAAGCTGAGTCAGTTCTCAAAACTGTCCTCCTGTCATAAGATTCACCAGAATTACTCACAGTTATCACAGTCATTCTCAGAAATGTCAAGTGTAGGTGCTCTTCCGGGCCTTCAGAATGGTTCTTCCTCTCTCAGTCTCCTCCCTCTATTTGGAATGGCCCAGAAAAACAGTACACTGACCAAGAGCCCCATCTAAAATCAATTGTTTGCTTAAAAATGGCTACCATAATATATAGTGGTTACCAAAGTGTGTCTTATCAAAGATGATTATTTTATAAGAAAGACAGATCTTTTCAATAAAGGGAATAACTAACAGCATTAGAAAAAAATTGAAGAAAAGGTGTAGAGTAAATTGCAATAATCTTGACCATGGGGTAATTAATATTTTTTTAAAAAGAAAAAACTTATTTCAATCACTAAGACGACTCAAACATACAAGACATCTACTTGTATTCAAAAGACTAAATGTCACATATATGAACCAGCCAAGACTCACCATCTGAGAGTTAAACATTATAAAAAGAAAAGTCTTAAGCTTAATTCTCCTAGTCTATGCCTGCTTCAAATTAACATAATAAAGAATCAGAATATAGGAAAAAAGTAGTAAAAGCCCTGTTAAAGAAAAACAATGCACATATGCTTATTGGGATGTAAAATACAAATAATCTATATATGAAATAAATATATTTCCAAATCAAATAAGCTATAGATGTGATAAAATATTTCCAAATTTTATCATATATTTAAATCCAGGTTTCCACAGCAGGTCTTAGGTTAGTCAAATAGAGTTTACTATAATTCAAGTGCCCCCCCAAAAAATACTTTAGCAAGAGCTACTTATATAAAAAATGGTATTGCCCATGCAAGTCCAATGAAACAAGTTTCCTGTTTGAAATATCAAATTTAATTACCAAAATCTCCATTTTTTTCCTCTGAACACTAAAAGGTTTCATGTAATGAGGTTCAATTTAAAGAACTCTCTTCACTACATGATTTCATCTCACTTAAAAACCATAGCGCTTCAGGTGTCCAAACAAATGCTGCAAACTAAACCTGGACACACATACTCACAGAGCCTTCCCCAATCCCAGGAGAAATTTATACATGAAGATCCTTCTGTTTAGCCAGGTGAACTCTGCTAGAAATTCATATTAAAGAGAACTTTGAAGAAGGATGGTACAGGAGAACAGGTGCAGCAAAGGCACCATGTATTGAGCATCTTTTATGCGCCTCTCATTTTAAGTGTTTCATCTCATACAATCCTTACAGCCACCCCTGAGGTACACACAATTGCCCCCAGTGGACAAAAGAAGAAAGGAAAGCTCAGTGTGGCTGAGTGTGCTGCCCAAGGTTACACAGTGGGGAGGGGTGTCCAGGGTCTGAACTCCACGAGGGGAGAACTACCTTCCAATTCCGAACCCTGTGCCTAGCAAGCACCAGGGGCAGGGGAGGCATTTGATAAATGTTTGTTGAATTGAATATGACTGTAAGGCCTATCTACTTTGGAGCATCCTGGAGAATGGTGTCAGAAAGCCCAAATGCAATGTGAGGGATAACAAGGAGGGGTAGTCCACGCAGTCTAGGGTGAACCAAGTAACTTCACCCGGGCTTTCCTCGGATCCACTGCCCCCTCCTCACTCACTGTCTTCTCACCATTATCTCTGTCCAGCTCTGGACATCTGTCTGGGTTTGCTCTCTCAAGGTTGCTGCCAGCCTTGGCTGGACCTAAGGCTGCTTATCCTTCACCTCACTTTTCAAGGGAGCTGGTAACCATAAAAATACTGCCCAGCCATGGCTTCCATCCTTTAGCTATTTGGGATTACCCAGGCCCTGAGACTTCCCAGCTTCCCACTGACAATGTTGTTTCAAAGTCCCAGGACTTTGCAGGAAATCTCTGGGAATGGAGCTCCAGAAAAATCTGGGTGGTCAGGCTTGTGTTGCTTTCATAGATGGGTTTTAGTGAGAGAGTTTGAATCTGCCTAGAGTGTACACCTCAAGTAGTTATTAGAAATATCTGTTAGTAGTTTGTGTTCTCCAACAGGGGCATATGAGGGAGTCAGGGAGGTTTGGCAGCCCCTAGCATGCACACCACTGGTAACCTGGTGGATCAGTTAGTTTTCACACTCCTTTAAAGAACTATGTGAGACTGGGTAATTTATAAAGAAAAAAGGTTTAATCAACTCACAGTTCTGTGTGGCTGGGGAGGCCTCAGGAAACTTACAATTGTGGTGGAAGGCGAAGGGGAAACAAGGACCTTCTTCACATGGAGGCAGGAGAGAGAAAGAGCAATGAGAGGAACTGCCAAATACTTGTAAACCATCAGATCTTGTGAGAACTCACTCACTATCACAAGAACAGCATGGAGGAAACCACCCCCATGAGCCAACCACCTCCCACCAGGCTCCTCCCTCGACAAGTAGGGATTACAATTTGAGTTGAGATTTAAGTGGGGACACAGAGCCAAACCATATCACCTGGGGAAGAGTTTTAAGAGACTAATACATGAAGACTGTGGAAAGAGGTACCTGGGCATGCACCTTGTGGCAGAGCCTGAGCACCAAACAGCCTCAACCACAGGGTCTTGAAAATGACACCCCACTCCTGCTGAGAGCTTAAGGAAGCACTCTTTCAAGTGCCCTCTCTGCTCTGCAGATCAGGCTGGTTTTAAAATTACAATAATCGGTAATAATATCAAAAGCTACAACCACAATTTGCTGATTGCCAGGTACCATGCAATGGGGCTTTACCTATTCTAAGCCCCATTGATGGGGGTTATTATTTCCCCAACTTTGCAGATGAGAATATGGAATGGGAACTTAATAACCTGTCCAAGCCTCAGCCAGTGAAAGAGCCAGCTGCTAACCTGGATCCCATGCTCCCTGCAGCCAGCCCACAGATCACCCTGGCAACCCAGCAGATGAGCCCAAGCCACACAATAGTGCAACTTCTTCCCAGATCCCAATAGAAAGTTACTTGAACTTCTACTTCCCCTCCTGCTTTCCCTCGTCTGCCCACCTATGCAGGAATGAATTCGTGAAAACCTGGCCAGGCATTCCACCTTGGGAACAACTTCTATATCCCAACTTTCTTAAAATGTCATCCAACATGGTGAGGAAAATGAACTTAAATTCTGAATTACATTACAAACTGACTTTCCTTCTCATTGTGGCCTGGACCAGAATCAGCCAAACTTCTCTGGGCTCAACTTCCTCATACTCAACACAGGTCAGATGGGCTTCTCATCTTCTAGTGTGTTGACGATGGTTTATGTCGTTGCCTCAATTTTCAGGTCCCTTTGGCCATTGGGATGAATTACACAATGTGAATCAGAAGTGGACAATCAGGAGAGGAGAAATCCAGCCATGTCTGGGCCTAGGCCACTCTTCAGAGATGTGGCCCACAAACACTAACAAAAAGTGGCATCAAAGCTCTGCCAGTTTCCAAATACTTTTAAAATCCTAGAAACATACCTTAGGATAAGAACCTTAGAATAACTTCTAGTCCAAACCCTTGTTTGACAGTAAGTAAACCAAAATTTAGAGAACTATCTGTTCATTTCCCATCACCCCCACTCTCGTAGCTAGCATGTGGCAGGACTTGGATTCCGACTGAAGACTCTTTTAATTCAAAGGTCATGCATGAGGTACCACAAATGCAACCTCCTCTGATTTTATTACTTTAGCCACTAATATATTTATATTTGGTAATATTGCCCTGAATAGGAGAAAACAGGGAGTAAAGCAACCCAATCCTTATAGAATGTCAGATACAGTAAGGCTCCTGAAAGTCATTATTAATAAAGAAATTGAGGCACAGAAGTATGAAAATGCTTTGCCAGTAAAATCAAGCCAGATGATGATGACGCAGTGGCTCAAACTCCAGTCTGTAGACTTCCAGCCCAGGGCTCTTTCCTGACACCCTGAGGAAACATTGCAGAGATGTCACCAGTTGGTCTTGTTTTCTAAAGTTGTTAATTTCCATAACACTTCTTATTTCTTAGACAGTTAAACTATGTACAACTATGAAAATATCTGTACTCAGAGGTGGTATAATTACATGGAAAAAAATATAAGGACCACTGGGACAAAATCAAAAGAGACAATTAGAACCTGAGTTAAATTCAAAAAACAAAAAAGGAGAGGGGCAAAATGGCTGAATAGGAACAACTCCAGTCTGCAGCTCCCAGCGAGATCAATGCAGAAGGCAGGTGATTTCTACATTTCCAACTGTGGTACCCAGCTCATCTCATTGGGACTCGTTGGACAGTGGGTGCAGCCCACGGAGGGTGAGCAGAAGCAGGATGGGGCGTCACCTCACCCAGGAAATGCAAGGGGTCGGGGAACTCCCTTCTCTAGCCGACAGAAGCCATGAGGGACCCTGCCATGAGGGACAGTGTACTCTGGCCCAGATACTATGCTTTTCCAACTGTCTTCACAACCCGCAGACCAGGAGATTCCCTCAGGTGCCTAGGCCACCAGGGCTCTGAGTTTCAAGCACAAAACTGGGCAGCCATTTGGGCAGACACTGAGCTAGCTGCAGGAGTTTTTTTTCATACCCCAGTGGCACCTGGAACCTCCGAGACAGAACTGTTCACTCCCCTGGAAAAGGGGCTGAAGCCAGGGAGCCAAGTGGTCTGGCTCAGCAGATCCCACCCCCAGAAAGCCCAGCAAACTAAGATCCACTGGCTTGAAATTCTCACTGCCAGCACAGCAGTCTGAAGTCCACCTGGGACATTTGAGCTTGGTGGGGGGAGGGGCATCCACCATTACTGAGGCTGGAGTAGGAAGTATTCCCCTCACAGTGTAAACAAAGCCACCAGGAACTTCCAACTAGGCACTGCCCACCGCAGCTCAGCAAAGCCACTGTAGCCAGACTGCCTCTCTAGATTCCTCATCTCTGGGCAGAACATCTCTGAAATAAAAGCAGCAGCCCCAGTCAGGGGTTTATAGTTCAACTAAGCTTCATAAGCAAAGGAGAAATAAAATCCTTTACAGACAAGCAAATGCTGACAGATTTTGTCACCACCGGGTTCTTGCCTTACAAGAGCGCCTGAAGAAAGCACTAAACATGGAAAGGTAAAACTGGTACCAGCCACTGAAAAACATACCAAATTGTAAAGACCATTGACACTATGAAGAAACTGCATCAACTAACGGGCAAAATAACCAGCTAGCATCATAATGACAGGATCAAATTCACACATATAAATATTAACCTTAAATATAAACAGGCTAAATGCCCCAATTAAAAGACACAGACTGGCAAATTGGGTAAAGAGTCAAGACCCATCGGTGTGCTGTGTTCAGGAGACCCATCTCATGTTCAAAGATACACATAGGCTCAAAATAAAGGGATGGAGGAATATTTACCAAGCAAATGGAAAGAAAAAAAAAAAGCAAGGGTGGCAATCCTTGTCTCTGATGAAACAGACTTTAAACCAACAAAGATCAAAGAAGACAAAGAAGGGCATTACATAATGGTAAAGAGATCAATGCAACAAGAAGAGCTAATATATGCACCCAATACAAGAGCACCCAGATTCATAAACCAAGCTCTTAGAGACCTACAAAGAGACTTAGACTCCCAGATAATAATAGTGGGAGACTTTAACACCCCACTGTCAATATTAGACAGATCTACAAGACAGAAAATTAACAAGGATATTCAGGACTTGAAATCAGCTCTGGACCAAGCAGACCTAATAGACATCTACAGAACTCTCTACACCAAATCAACGGAATGTACATTCTTCTCAGCACCATATCACACTTATTCTAAAATTGACCATGTAATTGGAAGTGAAACACTCATCAGCAAATGCAAAAGAATGGAAATCATAACAAACAGTCTCTCAGACCACAGTGCAATCAAATTAGAACTCAGGATTAAGAAACTCGCTCAAACCTGACAATGCATAGAAACTGAACAACCTGCTCCTGAAGGACAACTGGGTAAATAACACAATTAAGGCAGAAATAAATAAGTTCTTTGAAACTTATTTCAAAGAACTTTGAGAACAAAGACACAACATACCAGAATCTCTGGGACACAGCTAAAGCAGTGTTTAGAGAGAAATTTATAGCGCTAAATGCCCACAGGAGAAAGCAGGAAAGATCTAAAATCAAAAACCTAAATCACAATTAAAAGAACTAGAGAAGCAAGAGCAAACAAATTCAAAAACTAACAGAAGAAATAACTAAGATCAGAATAGAATTGAAGGATAGAGACTTGAAGAACCCTTCAAAAAATCAATGAATCCAGGAGTTGGTTTTTTGAAAAGATTAACAAAATAGATAGATCGCTAGCCAGACTAATAAAGCAGAAAAGAGAGAAGAATCAAATAGACACAATAAAAAATTATAAAGGGGATATTATCATCACTGATCCCACAGAAATACAAACTCCCATCAGAGAATAATATAAACACCTCTATGCAAATAAATTAGAAAATCTAGAAGAAATGGATGAATTCCTGGACACGTACACCCTCCAAAGACTAAACCAGGGAGAAGTCAAATCCCTGAATAGGCCAATAACAAGTTCTGAAATTGAGGCAGTAATTAATAGCCTACCAATCAAAAAAAGCCCAGGACCAGACGGATTCACAGCTGAATTCTACCAGAGGTACAAAGAGGAGCTCATACCATTCCTTCTGAAACTATTCCAAACAATGGAAAAAGAGGGACTCCTCCCTAACTCATTTTACGAGGCCAGCATCATCCTAATACCAAAACCTGAAAAAGACACATTAAAAAAAGAAAATTTCAGGCCAATATCCCTGATGAACATCAATGTGAAAATCCTCAGTAAAATACTGGCAAACTGAATCCAGCAGTACATTAAAAAGCTTATCCACCACGATCAAGTCGGCTTCTTCCCTGGGATGCAAGTCTGATTCAACATATGCAAATCTATAAACATAATCCATCACATAAACATAACCAATGACAAAAACCACATGATTATCTCAACAGATGCATAAAAGGCCTTTGATAAAATTCAACACCCCTCATGATAAAAACTCTCAATAAACTAGGTATTGATGGAACGTATCTAAAAATAATAAGAGCTACTTATGACAAACCCACAGTCTACATCATACTGAGTGGGCAAAAGCTGGAAACATTCCCTTTGAAAACCAGCACAAGACAAGGATGCCCTCTCTCACCACTCCTATTCAACATAGTATTGGAAGTTCTGGCCAGGGCAATCAGGCAAGAGAAAGAAATCAAGGGTATTCAAATAGGAAAAAAAAGGAAGTCAAATGGTCTCTGTTTGCAGATGACAGAATTGTATATTTAGAAAACCCCTTCATCTCAGCCCAAAATCTCCTTAAGCTGATAGGCAACTTCAGCAAAGTCTCAGGATACAAAATCAATGTGCAAAAATCACAAACATTCCTATATACCAATAATAGACAAACAGAAAGCTAAATCATGAGTGAACTCCCATTCACAACTGCTACAAAGAGAATAAAATACCTAGGAATACAATTTACAAGGGATGTGAAGGACCTCTTCAAGGAGAACTAAAAACCATTGCTCAAGGAAATAAGAGATGACACAAACAAATGGAAAAACATTCCATGCTCATGAATAGGAAGAATTACTATCATGAAAATGGCCATACTGCCCAAAGTAATTTATAGATTCAATGCTATCCCCATCAAGCTACCATTGACTTTCTTCACAGAATAAGAAAAAACTACTTTAAATTTCATGTGGAACAGAAATAGAGCCCGTACAGCCAAGACAATCCTAAGCAAAAAGAACAAAGCTGGAGGCATCACGCTACCTGACTTCAAACTATACTACAAGGCTACAGTAACCAAAACAGCATGGTACTGGTACCAAAACAGATATATAGACCAATGGAACAGAACAGAGGCCTCAGAAATAATACCACACATCTACAACCATCTGATCTTTGACAAACCTGATAAAAACAAGCAATAAGGAAAGGATTCCCTATTTAATAAATGGTGTTGGGAAAACTGGCTAGCCGTGCAGAAAACTGAAACTGGACCCCTTTCTTACACCTTATACAAAATTAACTAAAGATGGATTAAAAACTTAAACGTGAGACCTAAAACCATACAAAACTCTAGAAGAAAACCTAGGCAATACCATTCAGGACATAGGCATGGTCAAAGACTTCATGACTAAAACATCAAAAGTAATGGCAACAAAAGCCAAAATTGATAAATAGGATCTAATTAAACTAAAGAGTTTCTGCACAGCAAAAGAAACTTTCATCAGAGTGAACAGGCAACCTACAGAATGTGAGAACATTTTTGCAATCTATCCATCTGACAAAGGGCTAATATCCAGAATCTATAAGGAACCCAAACAAATTTACAAGAAACTATCAAACAACCCCATCAAAAAGTGGATGAATGATATGAACAGACATTTCTCAAAAGAAGACATTTATGCAGCCAACAAACATATGAAAAAAAGCTTATCATCACTGGTCATTAGAGAAATGCAAACCAAAACCACAATGAGATACCATCTCATACCAGTTAGAATGGCAATCATTAAAAAGTCAGGAAACAACAGATGCTGGAGAGGATGTGGAGAAATAGGAACACTTTTACACTGTTGGTGGGACTGTAAATTAGTTCAACCATTGTGAAACACAGTGTGGCGATTCCTCAAGGATCTAGAACCAGAAATACCATTTGACCCAGCAATCCCATTGCTGGGTATATACCCAAAGGATTATACATTATTCTGCTATAAAGACACATGCACACATATGTTTATTGCAGCACTATTCATAATAGCAAAGACTTGGAACCAACCCAAATGCCCATCAATGATAGACTGGTTAAAGAAAATGTGGCACATGTACACCAGGGAATACTATGCAGCCATTAAAAAGGATGCAGGGACATGGATGAAGCTGGAAATCATCATTCTCAGCAAAATAACACAGGAACAGAAAACCAAATATCGCATATATTCTCACTCATAAGTGGGAGTTGAACAATGAGAACACATGGACACAGGGAGGGCAACATCACACACCGGGGCCTGTTGGGGGTTGGGGGACTAGGGGAGGGATAGCATTGGGAGAAATACCTAATGTAGATGACAGGTTGATGGGTGCAGCAAACCACCATGGCACGTGTATACCTTTGTAACAAACCTGCACGTTCTGCACATGTATCCCAGAACTTAAAGTATAAGAAAAAAAAAATGCTATCACATACACAGCCATTTTCAGCTGGGCAATCAAAACTGGGCCATGTTGAAGCTTTCACCCCACAAGCTGAAATACAGCTGAAAGATCCACGCCCCAGGGGCAGCCTAGCCAGGCTGGACACCAGCTCCTGCTCCCAGGCTTCTCCCCCTCACCCTCTGCTTTCACAGACCTCTTCCACATCAGAGGCTACACAGGAGGAGGGAGCCGGTTTTGTTTTCTGCATAATAAAGATTTCAAAAGGCGAACGAATGAAACTTCCATGCCTTGTTCGGAAGAAGTTCATTTTTTAATATATTTAAGAAACATCTAAGCATACAAACAAAAAATTTTGTAAATGTACACAAAGCCCCCTTGTGGAAGTATATTTAAAAACCATTTTGAGGGCTGGAATCTTGGAAAGGGAGAAATTATGGCATTCATGATATTGTAGGCTCCCGTGGGCTGGTCATCATGTGAGGAATAGATGCAGGTATCTGACGGCAGCCGAAGCAGCATACCGTCAGCCAGACTGCCTGCCTCCTGGACTATCTTTGTATAACTACAGAATCCTTTTTTCTTTTCCTTGTAGCCACCAAAAAGAAGTCCCAATATAGACCTTAGCGGATTTCATCCCATTTTAATTCTACATTGCTTTTATCTATCTTTTATCAGAGGAAGGAAATCAAGCGGCATAATTTGGTTTACCTTTTTTTTAACTTTCAAGAAGAAAATATCTTCATATCTCCCAAGGCAACAGAATCTTTTGAACTAATAAAAACCATACAATTTCCTAGGTACCAGTTTTTCCTATGGAAGATTTTTAAATTTCCTTCTAGGAAAAATAAACAATTAAAACACATCCTATGAAGATATGTTAAAGACCACGTTGAGTTGGAAATGAAATAAAATGCTGCATGTTCTGCATTTTTTTAACTCAAGAAAAACTTTTTTGACTTTCATGATGTGCATATGGCCATTAATTTCAATGTGATATTATGGTTTTTGGCTGAACAGACAGTATGTATGTATGTATGTAAGCAAACAAAACAAATGCATTTTGTATTCAAATTTATACAACTCCATACATTTTTATGCTGTTTATTTGAAAATTAATTTTGGCTTAGGCCTCAGAGACAGCAAATGTTGTCAAGATTTGAGGGCTACCTGAAAAGCCTTGGGGACAGCATTACCCTTATGCATAAGAAACAGCAAAATAAAATAAAAATAAATGAATTTCCAAATACGTCATGGCTAATCCCTTGAGCTGACCTACAGATGAATTATGGAGGTTTTGCTACAGGACTGAGATCTGGTGATTTCACCGAGAGATTTATCTTATTTTCCAACTTATTTTCATATCTTATTTCCTTTTCTTTTAGAATTAGACTGTAAATAAAAGAGCTAAGAGTGAAGGAAGCTCCCTTTCACAGAACTCATATTGGATTGATAAATTAAAATGGTGAGATGAGTTTTGTATGACCCATCCTCAAGGATTTGGGAAATTTAGCCGATGCAAAACAAGGCATTAATTTGGAGAGGCCTAGCTACTTACAATGCTTAGTATTCTGACAATGATGAATGGCATCATTCCAAGCAAATGGTAATTTCACTTTTTGTGACGGTACTTTAGAGCAAAACCGACTTTCTTCACACAAAGAATTTGCAATCCTATTGAACAGAGGCAGTACCTGAATATCAGAAATCCTTCATTGTTTAAGTATCATCTGATATTCTTGATTGGCTTCAGACTGAAGGTTGGAGTTGAATTAGGGAGAACGGAGGTTAAGTCCTAACCTTGAAAGACTTAGCAGCCATTGAAACACTGCCTTTGGGCACTTATTGGCCTGTATTTATAAAAAAAAAAAAAACTTTTCAATTCAATGAGGGGAGGGAGAAAACACAAAACTTGTCACATTCATCAAGTGAAGCCACTGGAAAGACATCTACAGAACACCCAAAAAGCATAATCTTTCCGAAGCGCTGATAGAAATGGTAATTGGATGGGTCAGGGAATAATACAACCGAAGCAGGGGCAAAGCAGAATATCGCTAAAAAATCAAGGTCAAAAAGAAAAGAACAGACCCTTCTTAACTAGTAAAAAACTTACACTTGGCCTTTGTACTAAGGGAAAAATATACCTGTTGCTACCCGTAATTTATGTCCTCACAAAAACCTCTCGAATAGAACCTTCAAACATAAAAAGCATTAAAGACCCTCAGTTTCACAGCCCATAAGAAAGCTTCGCCTTAAATATTGGCTCCATCAAAATAAGTTTTCTGCATGCAGAAAAGAAAATGATTTTTAAAAGGAGCAACTAAAAGCAGTGACTCCCTTTCTCAATCTAAGCCATCTGTCTTTCCAGCAGGGGAAGGTGTGCCCTGCGGGGGTAGAAATACATTTAACAAACTCTACCCTGGGGGACTGAAAAAGACCAGGCACTCCGAAGACTGGCAGAGAATGCCAGCACTGTCTCCCCAGAGAGGAACAGACCTGATGAATCACCAAATCTGGGTTGCTCGTTTTCCTGCCTTCTTTGCTAATGAGCTAATCAGGGCTGAGCCAAATGACACATGTAAACAGATGAGCCGTCCGGGGATGCCGCCTTGTCCTGCTTTTATCTTACACAAACACCTCCACACTGGACTTAGAAGGCTTTTGGCACAAGGCAGAGAACTGATATTCTGGGCTGCATCCAGCTGGGAAAGGAAGAGAACTAGTGAAGTGGTGTGTCGTTCAACTGGTGGAACTGCACGGATGCAGGTGTCTCCTTACTGACAAAGATATCAGTTAAGGGGGGAAACAGTCCCTGAAAAGACAGTATCTGGAGCCCCTCCTCTTCATCCAAGGAAATAAAGCAGAACACCCTCAAAACCTCTCTGGACAGGTTCCCTTAAGAGTTAAAAAAAAAACAAAACAAAAAACCCAAAGCTCAGCCTAGCATTTCCCTGTAAACCGTACAAATTCACTGATACACAAGAAAGACAGCATCATTTGTTAATTCGCAAAATTCTAAGGTGCCTGTATACCCATTTCTATTAATCTAGGAATTCAACTTTCCACATTAGATTTCTACAGTGATGCAGGGTAGGAGATGGAGTTTATGATTTGTGCTGACAGAGCCACATCATATTTTAGGGAGATGACATTGCTATTGATGGTTCCTTCTAATCTATTCCCAGTAACATGCTCATCTGTATGTTTTCCCCAGGCACCAGAAGAACAATCTCAGATCCTTAAAACAGTATGTCATTCCTTTCCACACATCTCATATGCACATATATTATTATTATTTAACGTTTATTAAGTACCAACAGTATGCTAGGCACAATAGACATAGGGGGCCATAAAAACATATTTAACGCATCAAAAACCACAATAAAAGGATGCTGTGTATGTGACAGAAGACGATAAAAATCTCTGCAATTCATAGTTCAAGATGAAATGCACCCCAAGTCCCAGAGAAGCCTTGGAACAGTGTGGCACATCAAAAAAGGTATTGGAATTTTTATTCAGCCAGCGTAAGGAAGGTTATGCATACCTTACAATTAAACATGGCCTTCCTCAACCTTCCCAACATTCTGCAACAATGAATTCTCTAATGGTAAGCCACTAATTACTTAATTTATCTAGTTAAACTTCAGCACTCTACCTCATTCTCAATCATAATAGCATATACTCTGTACCAAGCACTATGGTAGTCATTTAAAATGTATTTCTCTGTATGAGAGTGGGGTTGAAACTTGGAAAGGTTCAGTGATGCATCCAAGGTCCATGATCAGGATTTCATTTTATTGTCTGTTTTCCAGGATTTCACTTCCTGTTTTACACACACACACACACACACACACACACACACACACACACACAGAGAGAGAGAGAGAGAGTTAAGAGTGATAAATGCCATTCACAAGTTTGGGGATTTGGAGTTAATATAATATCAAATAACCAATTTAGACATTGTGTAGACATAGCACTGGCCGGGCCAAGATAGATATATGCTAGGGGTCTCAACTTCTTCACTTGCTAACGCTACTTTAGACATGGTTTAGTGTAGGGTAAAGAGCATGGAACCAAGTTTTCTGAGTCTGAATCCTGGTTTTGCCACTTCTAAGCTGAGTGACTATAAGCAAGTGAATTGACATCTCTGTACCTCTGTTTCCTCACATGTTAAAAAGATATGAGGAAAATAATAGTAACTTATTTCACAGAGTTATTGTGAGGATGAAATGAGTTAACGTATAAAGAAAACTTAGTACAGTGCCCAGCACATAGTAAGTGCTTAAAAAGCTGTTATGTCATCAGAGTCCTGGCATTGAGAAGCAGATAATATGTTTTGAGTAAAAGACATTGTTGCTGATGCTTATCAGTAAACCCTGTGCTGCAAGCTGCTTTATAATTAATAAAAATGAGTTTACACTAGCCATCTAACTCTCTTCATTCCAAACTTTCATGAACCTAAGTGAATCTACAAGACAGCTGGCTAAAACCCCGAAAAGTTGCCTTTTTTTTTTTTTCTCCAAAACTGCTGTAAACACTAAAAAGTTGGCTTTTCTATGGTCGCCTTTACTGAACACCAGATGGATGGTTAGAAGGTAAAGAAAAGACCAGACTCATAGTGTTAGGCCCCATGGAGGTGTTAAATGAATGAATGAATGAATGATCCGACAGTGCCTAGAAGCTCAAATAATTCAACAAGGCTTCAAATTTGGATTCAGAATCTTCTTTGAAATTGGGCAACTCTCAGCCACAGCCAGACTAATTTGCATATTTTCCATGTATTTTCCACTTCCTCCCTATTTCATTGTACATCTTCTGGAAATTTCTCTACTTGTTATTTCTACAGAGGACCTGGAGGAGATGGGAGAGGTAAACTTCAAGTCAGTTAACGGAGCTCATTGTTCTCTAACCAAGTGATAGCCTTAGTTGGAGAAAAAGTCAAAGCTAATCACTAAATTCAGATTTTTGGATTATCAGTCAACATGAATTGACCATGCATTCCTTAGACAAATTAGGATTAGTAAGCAAAGTAGGAAAACAATCAGAGTTGATGCTTCGTACTAAGAAAAAAAAAAGACGTTGTTTTCTAATATGGTACTTATTGTCATAAATATCAAGGGATTAGATAACTAACTGCTATAAATTAAGGGTAGTCTAAATTATAAGCCCTGTTCATTAACAAGTATAAAATAATTGCTTTAGACAACTTAAAAGATGTGTGATATGGACTTGAAATCACAAAATGGAAGTTTTTAAAATTATTCTGTGGTCACTATTTCCTTTAAGCTCAGTTACTCAGTGGGAATTAAAAACCTGCCAGGACTTCTTCAGTGATACAACTCACGATGCTTTTTTAAGGGAAATTACTATGGAGCATAAATTTTTTTTTAGAGTTTCACACCTTTCCAAACCACTTTTTTCCTGAAGGATATTGCCTACTTTCTGTAGCTCTAAGCTTAAATGTGGTGCCATTTAATTACATACAGACTAATAAAGCAAGACATATTTAAATGTAATTTTGTAGCTTGTACACATAAACTCAAGCCAGTGGATGATGAAATGCTGCTAAAATTATCCTTATCCAGTAAAATTTATTGCAGTGATGAAAATCTTGACATCTATTCCAAAGTTCAAATTAAACTTTAGCGTAATAGAGTAGCCTAAGTTAAACCAAAGTAAATAAGCAATTATTTATAGTAATTGCATGTGTGTGTGTGTGTTGCATGTATTTAACTTTTCAGAAGAAGTCAGTGAACCCACATTGTGGGGACCGCTGAATTAATTACAAGCGTACACAAAAGGGTATACTCTTCAATGATCTCAGCATGTCACTTTGAATTTATCCATCTGCCTAATACCCACCTGTCTAGTTGCTCTTTCATTTAACCACATATTATGGCATCAATATTAACTTTCAGATTTGGGTAAGACCATTGCCATTTCCCAAGCTATTTGCCTCCTAATAAACACAGACTGAAGGGGAAGTGTTGAAAGCTAGGGCAATATTTTTCCCATAATGTTTGATACAAATCCCAGCTGCACAACATTGTATGTTAATAACCATTATTTAATTAACAGATGAAGAAGCCCTTTTGAGCTGCTCTGGCAGATTTTGAACTTGATCTTCTATCATTTGATGTCATGCAAGACCAGATAAATGACAAGTCTTTCGAGAGTCTGCAGAGCCCCTTTAGAACAGCTGCACAGTCTTCCCCCTTCTTTGCAGCAGGTTTCTCACTTAAGAAAAAAACACGCTTCATTACATCGCCTCTTACTTGAGCTGCAAGGGTCTATTCAAGGAAGATAAGCCTCTTAGAAATGAAGTAGCGTTGAATTTAGGTTTTGAGTGACAGCAGGAAGATTTATCCATTCAACAGACAATACCGCTTTCTCTGCATTAATCTAGGAGGCGGACAATGATCTGTTTTTTAGGCCTCATCTCATCTCTTTCCCACAGCAGAAGGTGATTAGAGTTAGGAAACAGGGACTGTGAAAGAAAACTTGAGCGCTATCTCTCTAGCCCTCCTGTTTCCTGAAGGGGTAAGAGGGAGCCCCTAGGCCAAGGGCATCAATCACAGATTCACAACAAGGATATGATGCTTTACCACTGGGAAACTGATAGGCCACAGGTATAAAGGGGTGAGCCCCAGAACCCAAAGGGTAAGGCATTATAGTTAACCTCCCAAAAAGGGAAGAAAGCACAAAGTAGCTCTTCATAAGTGAAAGCCCTTGAATTCTTCCTAGCTGGGCCCAAATGAAAATGTCAGGATTCTCTTGGACTGAACATGATATTCTACCACCTATACACGGGTTAAGGTTCAGTGAAATCCCAACTAGCTGATCTGCCAACAGCAGCCTAAAGAGAGAGCAGGAGACACAAAAGAATGCCATGCAACATTTGAGTGAGATTTCCACAGCACAACCATTTCATCTCATTTATATCCATCTTCTGCACCTCAGGAGAGGATTTTCGTAGGAGCCCAATTATTAATTTGAAGTATCCCTCTCAGCCAAGCACTGAGCACAGAGCCCATTGTGAGCAACTCGTCACCTGCTAGGAATCTGCAAAGATATTACCCTGAAGTCCAGCATGAGAATTCCATTTTACAGGAAATAGCTGGTACTATCCTTAGTGTGGGAGGCTTGCCACTTTATTAGTAGACTATTTGTCTATATTTTGAAGTGCAGAAATTGACGAATGGACTTTAGAGAGAATATGGTGGCGTCGAACAATGCTTTCAGTTTGGGGCATGCAATTTTTTTAATTTCAATAGGTTTTGGGGGAACAGATGACGTTTGGTTACATGAATACGTTCTTTAGTGATGATTTCTGAGATTTTGGTGGACCCATCACCCGAGCAGGGTACGCTGTACCCAATGTGTAGTGTTTGGGTACTGCTACTGCCACATCACAATATCCAGGATGCCTTTTATAGACTACTCACAGTCTTGATCCTTTTTCCTTTAGCTCACTGTGGAGGTACATATCAAATATCTAAAACTAAATGAATAAAATAAAATATTCACCTCCAGTTACCCTCAAAGTATCCCTGCACCAAGACAATCAAAATTGGGCCCAAAAAGGTTTAGAACTCAGATACTGGAAAACAAGTATGAGGCAACATGCTTTTGTGTGATATCTATTTTCCTGAAAAGGCAGCTCATGGAGGCTGGGAGAGACTCTCATTCAAGTGTGAGTAATTAATTAAGTTAGTAAGTAAGCAGAGAGAAAAGTCATAGACATTACCACAGAATTAAATCAAGTTGCCCCAAATGACTTGTAAATTTAAGAGCAGATTGTGTGTTCTCTAGAAATCAATATAGAGTCATCACATTTTGAGATTTCCTGTTGTTAAATTGTGTTTTGTTTTGTTTTGTTTTTGCAAAATGTCGTATTGACAACTAGAGGCTTCCTTGACATTTACCCCACGTGATACTGGAAATATCTGTTCATCAATCTTAAAGCCACTGTAACCAGCCAAATATTGTGGTGACAGGATGTAATCCATGTTTCAAGTCTCCTAGGAACCCAAATCCAACACCAACACCAACACCAGAATGTGGCTTGAAGAAGATTCTGAAGGAAAATAAGAAACCATCACTCAGACCTCTTTGGAAATCCCTTATAGCATCATAACACAGAGGCTATGCTCACATAGTGAACAGGTCTTCAGAAAAGCAGTAATGATTCAAAACAAAATGAAACAAGAAAAGGAGCACCGAATCTCTGATATTCCATATTGTCCAAATGAGTCCTGGGAAAGATGGTTTTCTTCTTATCTCTGATCTTCAGATTCCTTAATGTCCATCTTTATAGCACTATTATCGATAAGTTCTTCTTTACCTACTGCTTCCATAATCAAAAGTTGACCTCCCAGGTGGCAAAAAAAAGCAGTTCCTCCACCATCAAACCCTACCTAATGGGCCTAATCAGCTCCTACCATGATAGTCTTTATTTTCTTCTTTCTTGCTTTCTGCCTTTTTTTTTCTTTTTTAATTACTGAAGACTCTTGTTTTGGAGAAACCCCTAATTGCTTCATTTTGAGATGTTATGTTTAACCTCAGGAAATGGTGCTATAAGACCTGGCAAACAGCTTTCTGGTTGTTTCAATCAGTACCAGATTATGAGGTCCAGCCGGGTAAGAACTCTATTCATTTTCTTGCCCTGTCATCTTGATCTTATTTGAATGTCTGGGGAGCTGGAGGTGCTTAGCTGGCCCTGGATTTCAGGACTGGGGGTGGGAGTACCAGGGAGAGCTATGCGATGTGTTAGAGACACTGAAAGTTTTCATTTTGACTCCTTAATGAGAGCGACCTTTGACACAGGCTGATGAGTTCCATGCCTGTCCTGGTGTGCTTTTTGAAAACATTTGACACTGGTCACAGGTCTGACAGGGATATGACTAATGAAGTCGTGGTATAAAAATAATGGGCTGCAATTGCAAGTCATTTGCATGAAACCAAACTCCTTAAAAACTTGTCTCTGTTCACTTTCTGTTTTCTAAATGAGTCAATAATATGAATCAGATGGGTTGAAGGGAATAGACTCCCAAATATTCCTTCTATAAGTTTGGTAAATTAGTTGGCATTTGGTGCAATTTTTGTTGCCTTGAGGCCTGGTTTAAATTGGACTGTAGTTACTAAATTGCTAGGGCGATTGCAGAATGTGTAGGATAATGCATAATACCTTGTTTTTCTTAAGCGTTTCGTCAGAGAGCTTCTTGTGAGGTCAAGGGGCCCAGGCAGCGCTTTGCAGAAAATATCAAGCGAGAGTAGATGAAGAAGAAATATAAGGAGGTTGTGGGGGAGGGAGAAAGGAAAGGACTAAATAAAAGAAAGGAAAAAAAGAGAATAAATGTAGAAAGAAGAAATAAAACAAATAAAAAAGAGGGCAACATGGATTGGGGTCCAAAAACACAAAAGGACAGGAACAGGAGGAAAAAGAGGGAGATGGGGAAAAACGGGAAAATGAACGCAGAGTGGTTAAAGAAAATGGGGAATAGAAGAAAATTTTTAAAGGGAGAACCCTAAAAGAAGAAGCTACCATGTTGACTTCAGTTTATCCTGTCAAACTGTGTATTATTTATCCTCACACAGGTTAAGTATCCACTAAACAAAACTCTGGGCTAATAGCAGCTCACAGCTCACACACTAGGGCCAATCCTTCCCTTCCTTTGTCTCTGCACAACCCTGCCAAAGTTCCTGATGTTTCATCCTTTCACCTGTAGCTAAAAACACCTTCAGAGAAGGTTTTAGCAAAACTTCTGAAATTACATTTGACCAGCTGCGTCAGGAAGCAGCAGCCAGGAGGAGGCACATTGTACAAGTTCCTTCCTAGAGCCTTCCTCCTGTGGGACTGACTATTCATGATTTAAACACTTAGGGTTTTCTTTATGATTTGTCAGTTTCAGCACATCTATTTGGAACTTTGTTTTGCTTACTGGTATATACGACAAAACGAAATATCATGTGTTCCCAAACTTAAATAAAAAGAAATACAAATGATTTACAGATATACACACATAGAACAAATGAATAAAGGAAAGGTTACATGGCACAGAGGAAATTGTACAAGAGGTTTGGAAATGAACCAGCTCCAGTTGCTCTGTGACCTTGGGAAATTGTCTTAATCTCACTGAGCCTCAGTTTCTTCAATCACAAAATGAAGGATTAAAAGATTGTTTTACAAAGTACTAGCAAAGTACCTGGCACACCATGAGTAGCTAAAATGAATGAATGAGCAGGCAGAGTAGTAATACTCTCTTTTGTGCCTGCCTTTCAAGGAAGTATTTCTCACCTACCATTCATACATAAAGAAATCAATAATAATTCTACTTATATCCCTCGATAACACTGAAAATCCAGGATAAAACATGCATAGACTCCATAAACTAACCGCATTGCATCTGTTGGGGTTGTACATTCTACTCCCAAAAACCTGAAATCCAAACAACTAACAAAGTGAAACATGTTGTCCTCTCTCTCCCCCTCTATCTCTCGCTTTCCCTCCCTCTCTCTTTCTCTTCCTGTAGAACTGCCCATCACATTCCAAATCTCCACTTAAATGCTTGGATTAGTGCATGCCAACCCAAACTCCTATATTTACTACTTCTAAAAAAGCACAAACTAAGGATTAATGTTCATAATCATGACTTGATAATAGTTGAAGATTGGTAATTTTTTGTTTGTTTGTTTGTTTTTTGAGACAGAGTCTCACTGTGTCACCCAGATTGGATGCAAACAGAACTCACTACAGCCTCTACCTCCTGGATCCAAGCATGCCACCACGTCTGGCTAATTTTTTTTTTTTTTTTTTTAAGAAACGAAGTCTCACTATGTTGCTCAGGCTGGTCTTGAACTCCCGGGTTTAAGCAATTCTCCTGCCTTGGCTTCCCAAAGTGCTGAGATTATAGGCATAAGCCACCGTGTCCAGCCAGTAAATATTTTAAAATCAATTATTTGAGAAATATTTACCGTAGCTTAATTCTCAAAAATTGATCAATTGTGGTTACTTTCAGTTTGTCACAACTGGCCAAATCCTGGCCACTGCAAGCCCCAATTATTCTAAATATGCATGCATTTACTCTATGAATTCCTGCTGAGAGAATATTATTTCAGTTATTTGTCTTAATGAGGCTCCTCAGTCCATAAGCAAGTTTTGTTATTGTTACTGAAATAAAGACATAGAAGATATTCTCATTCTAGGAACCAAAGCTAACATTAAAAGACAGTAATAGACATTAGAACAAATTTTTTTAAATTAAAGAGTTGTTTTTTTAAGAAACAAAATGAAGTTTAATAAAGACAGAAGAAAGGCCGGGCGCGGGGGCTCACTCCTGTAATCCCAGCACTTTGGGAGGCCGGGGCGGGCGGATCACGAGGTCTGGAGATAGAGACCATCTTGGCTAACACGGTGAAACCCCGTCTCTACTAAAAATACAAAAAATTAGCCGGGCGTGGTGGCGAGCGCCTGTAGTCCCAGCTACTCAGGAGGCTGAGGCAGGAGAATGGCGTGAACCCAAGAGGTGGAGCTTGCAGTGAGCAGAGATGGCGCCGCTGCACTCCAGCCTGGGCGAAAGAGCGAAACTCCACCTCAAAAAAAAAAAAAAAAAAATTACAGAAGAAAATGAAGAATGAGTTAGAGAAAGTCTGGGAAGGCTCAAAAGGAGGACACTTAGACTTGTAGTACATTTCCAATTGAATTTGAGTATACTACTGGTAAACTACTGTGTATTTCTAAAGAAAGTGGGACTTAACAAGTGAGTATGACATTTGGCAGCTGAGAAATCATCCTTTCTCTGTAATCAATAATGCTAAAGACTATATATAAAGTGGTCCACGCTGCCCAGCACTGTATTCACATTTTAAAGAATGAAGACACTGAAAATGAGCAGTACCAAAAAGTACTAAGAGGATGAAAACTAGATCCTAAAAGGAAAAGACAATATAAATTCTAGTTATTTCACTAGAAGTGTTCAAGAATCAAGTGCGAAAGGATCTTACGAGAATGATGCTGACTAGTTGTCTTTCATTTCCACAGATTATCAAGCAAGATGAAATGGGAAAATGGATAGAACATAAAGAAAATCTTCTTGACAGTAATAAATATAAGAACATTTTTAAATATTGGACAAGATGACCAATAGAGGTTATGGATTAGAGGTCTTAGAAATCTTTTTAAAATAGGAGCAATGACCATCTGTCTTAAATGGTTTGTGTCTTTACCTGCCTGGAGGCCAAACACTGAATCATTACCAAATGTATGGTTCTATTATCCCAGAGATTGATGTCATTACCTCTGAAGTTTAATGCAGGGGAATGGGACAGGCAATTGAATAGTGCTGAATCGAAGATTTAAGGATTGAAGAGATGATGATACAATATAAGTGTAGCATTTAATTTCTCTAAAACTCCAGAGAAAATAATTCTATAAAAATAAAAGTTTGTGGAAGTTCTATTTTGTATTTTAATTATGTGTGTATTTGGCTCATTTCCTTTATTAAACCATAAGCTTCTTGAAGGCAAGAGATGTATATTTCTCCTCATTTCGCCTCTACCTCACCAACCCACCCAAAGTCCCTAACACCAGGGCCAAGAACCAGGTATTATTACCAGGTCTATAGACACCTATAAGGTTATACCTGTCCATGCCCTGTCAGACTGGTTTGCTGCCTGGACCGCAGAGGTTGTTAACTATTTTAAATATTCCTACCCATCCCTTCTTAAAAGCTGCATCTTCATGAGGGTAGGGAGTTTTATCTGCTTTGTTCACTAATAGCACCTGTAACAGTTTCTGGTATATAGTCAACACTTAATAAATACTGGTTGAATGAGTGAATGAATAAATGAATGATTGCCATTCAATACACTTCTTGAGGGCTATTTAGGAATAACAAGTTTTTTAAATCTCCCAAACAGAAAAAAATGTTAAGAACATTCTTAGCAGGTGGTTCTGTATCCTGGGAGGCAAATCCATATTAATTCTAACATTTTTGTCTTCCTTCTCCCTATCATATTCCTATGCAAGACTCTACAACCACAAAATTGCACCCTGTATTTCAAAACAGAGAAAACATTTAAGATCAACAGTCTTATGCAGAATAATTAACTCAATTTCTATTTTTTATATTTTCATTTCAAAACTTCAAATAGTTGTCTAATCAATAAGTGGTTTTAAATCTACATTTTCCTATCCATTTCTTTGCAAGTAAAGTAGGAATGAGAATACTTGCTCCCATAGGGGAAACACATAAAAACCATAGAAGGTTATGAATATACTATTTAGTTTAAATTTTTTTACATTATAAACCACACTCTGCATTCAAATTTCCATCTTTACTTTTCCCATACCTTTATATTTTAAGCATCTAAAGCCAACAACTGTAATAGTTTGCTGTCTAGTTAGCATAATTTCTTTATTGCCTTGGGCATAGATTTGCAATGTAATATAAATAACAATACTATTTTGCATGGCTATTGTACCTCTGGAAACCCTTTACCAACATTAATTTTCACAACCGTCCTTAAGGAATAGGTGATCACTGATATTAAGGCTCAGGCTAATGAAATTTGGCTTAAAGAATAATATATTCGCAAAAAAGTTTTAATTTACCATTTGTCAGTTTAGTGTTATATGGGTATGTATTTGTGTTTCACTAGATCCCAAAGAAAGCATTTGCCTTTGTAACATCCCCTAGGAATATATAATTTCAATTTAGATTCTTCACTTACCCAGACAGGAGACTGAATTCTGTTTGTTTGTTTTAATAGATCTCTATGTCTACCTTACACCAAAGCTCAGTCTGACCAGATACACAAGTGAAATTATTCAGTTTGGTCAGTTCTTAAAGCATAACCATCTGGTAATGTTCTCTGCGCAGCAGCTTTTAGAAATAGCTTTCCACTTACTAGGTATCAGCAGTTAGTGCTGGCATATCTGTAGTAATCGTAGAAGAAGTAATCATAGTACTGGTAATATTAAGTCACATTTATTGAGGACTATGTGCCAGTTCCTGTTCTAAGCACCTTACATGTACTAACTCATTTAACTTTCATAATAACCTAATAACAGCAGTGCAGTTATTATCCCCACCTTTCCAGATGCGGGAACTTGGACAACAAAAAGAGGTTAAATAATTGCCCAAAGATGTATACCTAATAAAAGGTGGGGTCAGCATTCCAACCAATATTTATTGAGCATCTAATTTTTTTGCCAGACACTTCACAATGCTTTCACTGCCCAATATTTCCTGTAATACAGAAATGATCATACTGTATTTTGATTCAGCAACATTTATCAAAAAGCCTGGAGCTGTCACCAAATATTTCTGATAATCACATCTCTTTCCTAAAACAATGAGTTTTAAGAGAACAGTAACATTTTTTGCCATTGGCACATATGGCATGGTTTCTGTCAAAGGGACTGTGGCTCTTTATCACATGTAAACCCACACGCCAACACACACACACACACACACACACACACACACACACACACACACACATAAACAATCACCTGTTGAATGGGCCAACTCAAACAACTGGTCAGTGAAAGCTGGGGAAATCAGTCAAACCAGTTATTTGACACCTTGTAGAAAAAAAAGGGAGGGGAGATGCAAATATTGTTGGATCTAATTTTTTACGTTTTAATATCCTGTACCGGAACCATGCAAAGTAATGCTAGAACCTATAAAATATTTAGGAGGAACCTGGTAAGGACAAAAGATAGTTTCCAATGCTACTCTAAAGGTGTATTGATTTAACTGCAAACAGTTACATTGTACACTGTCATAGCCTAATGCTTCATGGAACAAAGAGTTTCCAGTTGCGTCTCCATGTCTTTTATCTTTTAAAATGCACTTTTCTATTTGTTTACAAAGTTCTATTATTCACCTGCCAGGAAAAAAAAAATACCAAATTTAAATGAATCCCTTTATCCAAAATTAAATCCTGGCCTTAAGGATCAGATCCAGAATTAGCCAGAAATATGCATAAACTCCATACAGTTCCAAATTAATTTGTTAATTTAATTACCATAATAATTAAAATTGTTTACCATATTGTCATCAGAAACCAGAAGAAAATTATAAGTAAACAGAATCTTTATTATTTGTATTAAGCAAAATAAAATTACATAAAGAGAGACCTGGATATGTAGAGTATCTTTCATCTTCAAAGTAGTTTCTATATCTTCTGTATAATATTACAGTATTCAATGTAAGCACTCATTTTATCAAACAACAGAGTAAATAACAAAATAAGAACATAAAGTGACTTGCTGGCTATAGATGATGACTTCCCCAAGGCTGCCGTGACTTATATACCTTTCTTTGGCAACTCCTTTTGGAATTCTTTTTTATTTTGCCATAGAGATTTTTGTGGGTGACTTTTATTTTGTTTTGTTTTGATACTTTCATGAGCTACAATATTATGTGGTTCTCCCCTTCTACAATTCGTCCCATTAAAAGTTCTGTCATCCTGTTAGACATATAAGTGACATGGTGGCCAGAATTCAGGGGTGAAGGGAACTGAATTTTGAAACCACACAATTTATGTGGAAATAAAGTACATTCCTCATTTGTTTCTGCGTCAGACATATGGGAAGACTGTGTATAATAGGTTGTTTCATTTGTGTGATGGAGAGATTTTTTTTTAAGCCTTCTGAAGAAAAAAGTCATACTGATGTCTACGTTCATCTATGCTTCTTTTCCCGTGTTTTAATGTGGAAACATTTTAGAACTCACAGTTTCCACACTTCGTACGTTTTCCACAGTTAATTAATCCTGCTTTCCCTCATGACAAATGACCCTATCTCATAAAAGGACACATTGGCAAGCAAGGATTTAACTCAAAGAAGCTGTTCTTTGATATATATGTATGAATTGGGTTTTTTTTTAATTTAAAAGCACTGGACTCTCAGAATATGAAAATGTACTACATCTCCTACGGAAAAGTAAATTTGGAAATCTTTTAGGTAAATGAAATACATAGGGTTTTTTTCTTGTCTTCAAGAACCACCATGTCCAATTAGAGGGCTGGGAAGTATGACTATTCCATATCTATATTTTTAAGTCTACCATACCTTGTGCTCTCAACTCAGAAAATTCAGAAAGTAAACCCTACTCAAATGGCTGTGTGGTAGCTTCTGAAAATTCCCAATGCAAATGGCCCTCTTTTTTCCCTCCCAACTCTCCAAGTCTTAGGGAAAGAAATAAACTCCGAATTATTAACCTGTTGCTAATTTTCCCTATTACTCAATATTAAATGAAGATGGAGAAGAAGGCCCCAGGATATTAACCTAGGCTGTCCGCTTCCCACAGAGACACAAGGCTTTGCAGCATAAGAGCTAGAAGGGTGAATGACACCACTATTCTTATCTCTAAGAAGTAACTGAAAATTTCATAGATTGACAATAGGCCAAATTCGGCCATCCCATATCCCTACGCCTCTCTAGAGACCAGGAAGGCACCATGTTAGAGTAGATTCTACTTTAAACTTTATAGGTAACTGCAGGTCCTAGGAAGTCCATGCCACCTCTCAGGGCCTCTGTTTCCTCATTTGTAAAATGATGTGGATGGAAAAAACATTCTCTAATGACCCCTCAGCTCTGGCATTTTATGATTTTCTCTTATGCCATGTAATATGGCATGCTATTCCCCACTGTCTCCCCTCCCCAACCCCCACTGATTTATTGCTGAACAGCTAGTCCATACAGCAAGCTCTGGGCTTAACCTGGCCTCACTTGCATTAGTAGAAGCAAGTTATTTCTCATCTTCATCGCCACACTGCAATTCCGACTCACATAGAAAAATCTATCTATCTGCCTACAAACCTATACATCCATCTACCTACTTTTAACAAATCTGTGTTCAAATCACATGCAATTTCTGAAGAAAAATTAGTGTTTCTAAGGCTGATTCCCTTGGAATCACTGCAACAATTTTGTCACAAAAGACACCAATTGAGCCAACTTGCAAGACCCTTTAAAATTCAGGCATTCTGTCTTCACTTTCCCTTTTATTCAGCACTACCCTTTCTTGGCATCTTTGGACTCAGAACTATGAATCTCCACATGCCTTCCATTTTGTTCCACATCTGGACAAGAGGCAGGAAAACAACAGATCATCAACAAGTTCAGGTGGAGTTTGTTTTTGTTTTGGATTTCTATAAACAAGAAGGGAAAACAAACTCTAAGTAAGCATTAGTTTTTACCAATTTATTTTTCTAACATGCTACATCTCTGGGGGAAAATATCTACTGATTTGATGAATAAGTATGAAGTTGGGAAGCCTGCTCTTATAGGCATGAGGTAAATACCAAGATGAATAAGATGACTAAGGAAGCTAAAATAGGTATAATAGCAACAATAGCAACAGCAAGAGATATTTTGGGTTATTTGCTCTACCTTAGAATCAGAGTGCCCACACCGATACATGAGCATACCTGGCAAAATCTGCTCCCACAGAGGAATGGCCAGTGCAGAATGTTCTTCTCTAAATGGTTGTCAGAGGCCAATTTGTTAAGACTAGAAATGGAGAACCAGAATAAGAATAAAATCCTTTTCTCGAAAATTCAGGCCTGTCACATAGGTACAAAGGAGGATGTATTTTTAAAATCTCTGTTGTATGTCAGGCACCATGCTAGGTACTTCTATATGCATATTTCATTTAACCTTCTCAACAAATCAACAGTGTGATTCTCACTTTTTCCCCATTACATAATGAAAACCTTGGGATTTTTAAAGTCCACGCACTGCCACTTGATGGTGGATGTGAAATAATTGTACATTAAGATTATTAAGCTGCTGCAGCTAGATAAAATATTTAACAAGTATTAAACTGGAAGTGATCATGTGAAATCAGTTTTAGCTAAGATACTAATCTAGAAGTTACTATCTGTACTAAAGACAGCAAAATAGAAAGCGTCCCTACCAGCACAGCATAATGCAAAACGCAAGCAAGGACAACTAGTAGCAGGCCTTCTGCAGAACCTATTAGAGAAAGCAATCTGCTTTAGAATTGATGGAGATTCCCTAATCAAAGTGAAATTGAGCAAATTCCTAAGCCAGATGGGGAGTTTTCTGCTAGCAAGTCATCAGAAACAAGGATGCCAACTTGATCCTATGGAAAGGCACAGTACAAGAATGACATGGAACACTACCTCATCGAGAATAGAAAACTCCAGACCCTACCAGGACTGTGGCAATCCTCTCAGCCCTCTCGCTTATTAGTGGAGGAGAACTGGGAATCAATAACAGAATCCTTTTGTACATCATTTATATCTTTGTACATGTAATTATACTTAAATCAACAAAGTAGTAAACTTTATATTACTCCTAAGTTATAATGTGGGTTTAGTCATTCTCTGATTCAAGGAAATGTTGGCTTTGTAAAACCAAAGGTAACCTTCTGCTGTTATTTTGTAGGCTGTGGACGGAGAAATCCCTGGAATGATTGGAGAGTCGAGAGTCGGATGCACCAAGCCGAGAGAGAAAGCCAAGTGCACCGTTTAGCAAATGATACTTAGGGTTTATTTCTCTTTGGTTTTTTGCTCCATGTTACACACCCACATACTTGTAAGACAGAGCAGTGAATGGCCTCTTCTGTCTGAGTCCAAAGCCCACACTCTGTCTGCTATGTCACACTATTATGACATACAGCCATTAACCCGTGCTAATCACCTATTTCACTTGAATGACCCAATATAACAATGTGTGGATTTGAGAGACAATCTCATACTAAAAACAAACAAAATGAAAGAGAAACCTGTTATAATATGTAGAGTACCTTATTACAAAGATTCAGAACCACAGGTCAAATAGCATGCTCTCCGGCAACAATATGATAAAATTCTTTCCTAAAAGGAAAATTCCATTGAAAACAAGCACTTTTTACATCCTAGGAGATGGCCCATAACAACAGTACAGTATAGAGAATAATTTTCCATAAAAAAATACTCATAAAATCAATGCTGTTGTTTTTTCTGGTCCCCACCCATTTCATCTTCATTTTCTAGAAACCAAACTGAAATGATGTGGCTGTTTACACTTTCAGAAGGAGAGAACACAGAAAGCTGAGTGACTGTGACTCAGAGATTTTGTTCTACCCCCGACCAGCAGTTACCCTTCAACCAGTCTCGCTCTTCATCCCTCACAATGCAAACTTCAGAGTCACACTGCCAGAAACAAACCCAAATAATTCCCAAACACACCACTAGAAACCCAAACAAAACACTAGATTAAAAATTCCAGGGTGTCTGCTGTTCACAAAAACTTGCTGGCTCACCAGCAAAAATCTGGGCATCAGCACTGTGCTGTCCACAACTCCTAAAGACGGATGTGGCTGCCTCCAGTCCAGAAGGCCTCTTCCTTTCTGACTTTCACATTATTCCTCAGCCAACTGCAGCCTACTTGGCCAACATTATTTTCCTCACCCTTTCACAGACAGCCTCCACCTCCTCTTACTGCCCTCACGCCCACCCTGCCCAACTGGGTTGTGTTTATCCTTTCCTTCCAGCCTTCTCCTCTACCCTCTGGGGTGTCCACCGCCCTCTCCTCTCTAGTTCCCCTAAATCCTTGCCCAATGCCCAGTTTAGGTCCAGCCTTTACTGGGTAACTTTTATCCAAGCACATGAGCTTCTCTCTGCCCTGAAATTCTAGAATTCTTTCCACGTAGGGCACAGAATCATGAAGTTCAATTTCTCTAGTTGTTTTTTATATGATAGTCTCATCTTTTCATCTGGATTAAAAGTCCACATCTTAGAGTCCCTTGCCATGCCCTCCATCTCAATTAGGGCACTTAAAGCCAAACAGCTGCCAGCATTTTCCACAATTACATGTATTACATTACAGACACACATACACACATACACATATACACATGGATACATACTTATAAATCTATACATGATATGTAGGCATGATATGTATTTACACACACATCATGGGATATATATGTACATAAAAAATACGGTGTATGTTTATATATCTAAGACATATATGTATGTATAAAACATGAGATACATATGCCTTCATTTATTATTCATTTGTTTGTTTACTGATTGTTTACTAAATGCTGATAGAATTTTTTAAGAATTAAATTCCTATTGAGAAGGGGTCTCGCTATGTTGCCCAGGCTAGTCTGAAAATCCTGGGCTCAAGTGATCCTCTGGCCTCAGCCTCCTCAGAAGCTGGGACTACAGGCCTGCAAGACTGCACCCAGCTTGGCTGGGTTAATAGAGTATTAACACTAGGAAAACAAACGCAGAAATGTTGTAGCCTCATCCTGCATGCTGTCTGTAGATGGGAAAAATCAAACTCAGGGAAATTAATTTTTTCAAGACTACACTTGGTAGAAAGCAAGGTATGAGAAGGAGCTAACAAACTAAATTCCACAGGAAAACAGCATAAATATTACAGCTAGACAAGAACGCTGATGGAGAAAATTTCCCAATAGAGGAACCATTAGGGGTTCCTGAGGCAAATATACCCTATACAGTGCAGATTGTCTATATATGTAGCTCACTATGGCCCATGACATATTAGCATGTGAATCTCCTTCAGTGTTATTGATAAAAATTCAGATTCCTCAATGCTATCTGAGAGCTATCTAATCTGAATCTCCAGGTAAGGTCCAGGAATCTATATTTCCACGGAGTCCCACAATGATTCTCTGCACACCACAGCTGAGAACCACTGGCTCTACCCTATATCAAGCTGACAATGAGAAAGATATAAAAGACTAGGCAGATGCTGCTGGACTTGAGATCCCCATTCCCAAGGAGTTAATTCAAAGACAGTCATTGCTCATAAGGCTAAACCAAGTGGTCCAATTTCATTTGCTTATTCTTCATTCAAAAAACCACTTTTCTACCAGGCACAGTGGCTCACACCTGTAATCCTGGCACTCTGGGACACCAAAGCAGGCAGATCACCTGAGGTCAGGAGTTTGAGATCAGCTTGGTCAACATAGTGAAACCTTGTCTCTACTAAAAACACAAAAAAATTAGCCGGGTGTGGTGGTGCACGCCTGTAGTCCCAGCTACTCAGGAGGCTGAGGCAGGAGAATTGCTTGGACCCAGGAGGCAGAGGTTGCAGTGAGCCGAGATTGCACCACTGCACTCCAGCTGCACTCCAGCCTGGGCAACAGAGTGAGACTCCATCTCAACGACAACACCACCACCACCACAAAAAAAAAAAAAAAAAAAAAACACCTTTTCACCTAAGTACCTCAAGGCCCTCCACCAAAAAAACAATGCTCTCTTAAAACTAGCTGACCCTTTGCTCTAAGCATAAAGAAAAACAGAAGCACATGTGGCATTGTGAAAATGACCTATTCTCAATTTTCTATGTCTATCTAGAGCTGTGGCATTCTTCTAATTTTTTTTCTTTTAACTTAGAGTTCTTGTCCCTAAAGCAGTGGCCCTCACAATGTAGTCCCTGGACTAGCAGTATCAGCATCACCTAGAAAGTCAAATTCTTAGGCCCCAGCTCAGACCTGCAGAATCAGAAATTCCAGGGGGCAGGGCCAGCATTCTGGCTTAATAGACCCATTGGGTGATTCCGATACAGGCTACAGTTCGACAACCACTACCCTGAAGGAATACTGGGAGAAGAGGAGTTTCCATTAGTCCTTCTCAAGTCTGAGCCTCCTCTGCTTGGGGAAATGGGAAGAGGTGAATGGCAGGCTGAGCAAGGGAGATCCAGGCCCATCCGCTCCCACTAGTCCATCTGCAGGCATTTCACACAGCTGGCTTTCATAACAAAGCTTATCCTGAGTCTCAAAGTTGATACTCTCTGAATATCAATTGATAAGCTTACCAACATGTTAAAACAACAAGGCAACACAGCAGGCCTAGTATGGAACACAAATAAACGTCACAGAATCTGACCTTAAAAGCTGGATCTAACTGAAAAAAAAAAAAACAAAAAAAAAACTGGATCTATATTCTAAAATTAATGGGGGAGGGAGGGCTGGACTGATTTAATTTAGTGAGAACTGTTTCTTTTAAGTGAATTGGTTGATTTAAGTCCTACAACCAGTTTCTAAGCACTCAATTTCAAATTAACCAGTTGCTTGAATAAAATGGTGAATTTTCTTTATTTTCTTCAAGACAGGCTCATGTGGCTATGACCTGAAATCAGTGATTAAAGAAATGCTTAATGGTATCTGCCCATTACTAAATTATTATTATTAATTAAAAGTTTAAAAAGAAAACAAAGCTTACTTTTGTCTACTAATGGATACAGGGATTTAATGTTACAAATTACCTTTCTAAACCCAAAATGCACAAGGAAGTGAAGTATACGTAGAAAATTCATCTCTAAAAGCATACTACCCACCAACGACTACCTAATTTAGCAGAATATATTACCTCTATGCTTCATAAATCTTAATTAAAGCTGTTAGTTTTCCTATTATGTGATCGAGAAATGCCCCATTAAAGTTAAACAGTTTCTACAAGTAATTATACACATATACACTTTAAAATTGCTTCATATATACTGGAAACATTGTCTACTAAATCAAAAACTTGCAGAATTTCATTAATGCAAGATTTTTTTATCTCCCAAAAGTCAAATGTGTCCCAGAGGAACCAGTATACTCAGTGTTGGCTTCTTATAATACAATTTAATGCTCACAAACACAACTAAAGTATTTAAACATTTACAGGGGTTGTCATAAATGCTTTTCTTATTTTTGATCAAATTCAACCTTACACTTAATACAGTTAACTGTAGTTATTTAATTTAAAAACTTGAGATTCCAACCTCAAAAATTTATAACAATATAAATGCAGTTACTTGGCTATAGGATACGTATACTGTGGGGACTCCATTCTTCAATATGAAACACAAATACCAAAACCAGAGAGGTAGTATTTTTTAAAGTAGACATTATTTTAAATAACTTTTGGCACATTGAAGAAAAAACATCAAATCCAAATACAAAAATAGAATTCTTTCATTCATATAGTCAATTTCAATCAGACACTAGCACACCAATAATAAGAATAATGTTTATATTTTTCTGTTTTGAAAAATAATACAAGATGAATCGATAAACTAGCTAATTGAAAATATAATGTTATTTGAGGGATTCTAGACATCCTAACTGAATAATTGGATGGAAAATATTATTGACAACTTCTCCATTTTCTCAAAAGGTGTAGTTTATTTAATTCATTGAAATGTTACATGTAACTCTTTAATATTATACTTCCGAGAGATGTGCAAGTTTCATCTTCAGAAACTGTCACTGGCCTTAGAAGAAAACACTTAGATGTAAACTCTTGTGCCAAGAGCTTTCTGTCCTGGGGCATATTGGATGAGCACATTCACAGAACATGAAACAAGAGAAGGAAGACAGCTGTAGCCCAGGCGGTGATGGATAACCCTTGATCGGGCAAACGTAATATCTCTGAGGGCTGAAAGTACATTATTAATTGAAATCCTTGGTTAGTTCCTCCTTGTAGACCACCATATAATTGCATCTCTACCTGAAAAACTGTTTTCAGCAGAATTCATAATGGGTAAAGTGTCCTCAAAATGCATATGAAGGAAATCTATTTTGCGTACAAGTGATTATATCACAATGTACACATTACAGAGACACTAAATCCTTATTTCCATGACTGTACACAGACCAGAAAATAAATGCAAGCAGTTTACCGCTCACCATACAGCACAGTAACAATTAAAATGCTGTTTGATCAAAAATTAAAACCTAAAAAACATTAAAACTAAAAAAAAAAGACTGTTCCATAGAATTAGTGTTTCCAGTTAGCAACAAATATAAATGACCTCAGTGTATTCTGATATTAAATACAACCTCCCCAATATAAATATCTTATAGTTACAAATACCTTAGTTTAATGAAATGCCTCTTCTTTTGTGACTATATTTTATGAATATAAATTGGACTAGTCAAACACATTAGCATTTTTTTCTTATTCAAATAGAGTGTATCAAATCTTGCTGGTTTAAAAAGAAAAAGTTTCTTAGGACAATGAAAGTTTTATGGGGAGTTGAGGGGTTGGAAGGAGGTGAAGAGGTGCATGTTTCCAAGCTAGGGTATAGGAAAGATTAAATATCTCACTGAACTTCAGCCTGACATGGAAAAGTAACATCACCTAAAATCTCAATCTTATCAAAGTGTAAGATGAAGTAAAATAGAAGACAGGGATACATTAAGAGATGTTCAACATAAGTTTTAAAAATAGGTACAGTAATAATGCAATCCACTAATAAACTGAATAAGGAGCCGGGTGGAGAGTCTAACAACCAGTCATACTAAATGACAGCTCAGAGGGCGAAGAGGTGTGGAAACTGAGAAGATAGACTTCCAAGTCTTTTCCTGAAAGTGCTTAGATTTTGAGAAGAGTCCAATATTGTCAGACAAAAGAGTCTTTGTGCAACAACACCAGGGAGGTGACGGAAAGCTGCTCAGGAAAACCAACATAGACAGCCCCAGCCTTGTACACAGGACCCGTGGAGAACTTTGACTTATGGGGCCTGCAGAAAGAACAATGCTAAATGCAAGAGCATCATATTCAGCCAATATCAGAATGGGCACAGAGCAGATGAGCAGATGTCTTTAAAAAATCATGTTGGGTTTTTTTCTTTCAAAAAATATAATAAGCAGATACACAGACTACAATTTCAAATTGCATCAGTAGTCTTAGACTAGGTCCTCAGACATTTGACCACTCTGGGTGATTTAACCTGCCTCACAAACCTTGATACCTCTGGTTGGCAGGGGCTCTGATTTTGAGTTCTTGGTGAAGTGGCAAAACAGCTCATGAGGGAGTATCAACACACAAGGCCTAATATCCTGAGGTTCCTGTCCCAGAATAATGAAATAGGAGCCTGTTATTATTAAAGGAAGACTGGTGTCATACAGAGACAATTTCAAATAGAGAAATACACACTAAACATGGATGGTGGTCCACTGTTTATTCAAATTCAGGATATCTACAAAAACTTAGGCTGTAAATCAAGTAAACACATCAGATAATTGGCACTTCCAGCGTTAGGGAGAGTTGTCCAAGCTTTTGCCCCTACAGGAAACCATAATAAATAAGAGAAAAACACCCAGTATATCAACCTTTCTGGATCTTCAAAATAGAGCTGCCTCATAAGTTTTACCAGGATGAAAATATTAAAAGATTCATAATAAGGGTACAAAAAATTCATTTTTCTCCTTCACCATTTCCAACTGCCCTGCTATCAATCTGAAAATAATTTAAGTGTTTAAAGGTATCCAATAAACAAGCAATGTCCTTAAATAAACTTTAAAACCAGGTGCCAATTTTAAATTAGCATTAGATGCAATTTTATCTTAAAATGGCATCTTCGCAGCTGTAATTTCCATCATATGAAATAAACAGCAAGTTATAAAACTGGCTGAAAATTTTTCAAAAATATACATCTGCCAATAAAACATACAAAAAAGATTCAATCTCATACAAGAACCAAAAGAAAATAGGGTGGGAGGGTTTACTGTGGAATTAAAATGTAAGAAGATAGCAGAACAAAGTCTTCCAGTAACTATTTTTTGTAGTGCTAAATTCTGTGGTGTAATGGAAACAGCATGATGTCAGAGACAGAAGCCTGGTTTTCAATTCTACCGCCACCTTGAACTAGCCATGGGATCCTGATCTGTAGATTTACTTCATTCATAAAGGGGGGTAATGATACTTTTCGTCTGAGTGTAGTATAGTGAGCAATTTGCACCGCAGTTGGTGCATATAAACTCTTAATAGGTATTATCTGTTGACGTTATTATCATCATGAGTTGCTAGATCAGATCAGCTAGCAAAGAGAAGGGTCTTAAGAAAACAGGAGACAAAAATGGATCCAAATGAGGCCAGAGTGAAGAAGAAAATATGGGACTAGGCATCAAAACCATGAAGGTCAAAGGAAAGAGAAGAGAGAAACTTTGGAAACATCACAGGTCAGACTGTGACCTTAATGAATATGATATGTGACTGCCTAATAGAATTGTTATTGATATGACACATGTAGCTTTAGAAACAAACTACACTAAATGCTTGCACTGGGCCTGTACCTGATCAAAACAGACATATTCATTCATACCACTCTGCTTCCATCATTCAGGGTTTTGATAAAACGTTAAACCTCATCCTCACACCTTAAATGTAATTTTACCAAACTAAAGTAAACTGAAGTGAGCTACAACCGATAGCGAAGAACCCTATACGCATTAACGTGAGCCACAGTTTAAAGTGTGTCCCCTTTAGCATAAGGCCGGGCACGGTGGCTCATGCCTGTAATCCCAGCACTTTGGAAGGCCGAGGCGGGCAGATCACGAGGTCAAGAGATCAAAACCATTCTGGCCAACATGGTGAAACCCCATCTCTACTTAAAATACAAAAATCAGCTGGGCGTGGTGGCGCATGCCTATAGTCCCAGCTACTCGGGAGGCTGAGCAGGAGAATCACTTGAACCCAGGAGGCGGAGGTTGCAGTGAGCCAAGATCAAGCCACTGCACTCCAACCTGGCGACAGAGTGAGACTCTGTCTCAAAAAAAAAAAAAAAAAAAGTGTAAACCTGTATATGGAAAAACTACATAGTGAAAGTCTGCTATGATACATTTAACTTTTAGACAAGAATAAGCTGGTTCCCAATATAAGCTTTGTGAAGATGTTCCATTGTACCAACAATCAATTCTCTCACTGGGAATGGTTGAGAAATGGCTTTGTTGACCAAGTGCTATACTACACATAAATTAGCAATTTGCAAAAAGAGAAAGAATAAAAGGGAAAGAATCAAATACACTCAACACCACAACATGATAAATATGTTGATTAATTCCCTGATCATTCAAAGAGATATTCAGGAATTTCAAAGACTGTACATCATTATAATTTCCTTTGTCTTCTAGATGTAGGAACCTGCCAGTTAAAAGGAAGTCATAATTAACACTATGCCAGTTGAAGATTTATGTATGGATATATGTAATATTCTGCACAACTACCTCTTGACTTACTTTTTTTTTTCTGAGACAGGGCCTCGCTCTGTCCCCCAGGCTGGAGTGCAGTGGTGCAATTTCAGCTCACTGCAACCTCCACTTCCTGGACTCAAGCCATTCTCGTGCCTCAGCCACCCGAGTAGCTGGGATTAGCTGTGTGTGCCACCACACCCAGCTAATTTTTGTATTTTTAGTAGAAGCAAGTTTTCACCATGTTGGCCAGGCTGGTCTTGAACTCCTGACCTCATGTGATCTGCCCACCTCAGCCTCCCAAAGTACTAGGATTACAGGCATGAGCCACCGTGCCCAGCCATTACTTATAAATTTTTTAAACTGAGATTAACATAAAATCATAGCAAATTATAAGTACTCCCCAAGGGATTAAAAAACTAAGCAAAAATAGAGAAAGTCAAGAATTAGTCACCCATAGTTTTCTCAAGAAAACAGAGTTTAAATATATAATAGGAAGGTAGAAAAGTAGGCACTATATCTACAAATAATTCACATGCACACGTATCCCTAAAATGTGCTAAGTATCATTTAGATGTCCAAAAACAAGAAACACCAGTTACCCAGGGGCCATGATTAATTTTCTCCCTTCAAGAGGAACTAGGTCTGCAAAAGGCTTAGAAATTGGTAGACTCAGGCCCACTCCAGGAAACTCGGCTGGTGTTTCCATTATAAACCGCATTTCAGGAGTTTACAAGTTGAATGTTTTTAAAACATATTGGGCTCATAATGAGCTCACACATTCTTAAAATGTTCTCTTTTTGCTCTCCTTTAAAAAGTATGGCCACTTTTGTGAATAAATCATAAACAAAATTTCAGGTGATTATTTTTGGCTGAGCTCCAAGACACAATGGCTAAATGTTTGAATAAAGTAAAAAGACTAATTATTTTCTTCATTTGGAAAGTAGAGTAGAAAGGCCAGCCTGAGAAACACTCCACAGGACTTCCGTTTTAAAGCATTCTTTTGCAATATTTTCATTCAGTGGTTCAAGATCCTAGGACTGCAGCTAGGAATATGCAATCAAACTTCAAAAACTCCATTTCTACATCTGGAGATTTATGCAATAATCGCTCCAGCATTAGACTTCTCTAAAGTTATTTGTGGTCAAAATTACATGTACCATGAAAGCCAGGAAGACTCTTAGAATGAAGCTAAAAGCCAGGTGGTAAGGCACCTACACTTAGGTGTCGCCACAAACCCAAATTCAAACCAACCTCATAGTTTTATAAGCCTTTTCCCTGTGCCAACTCCCAGCTTAAAAATAGTCCAGGGCAAATCTCAGCAAGGAACTGAGTTGATGAGTAGGTTAAGGCTTAAAAATCATTTCTTTCAGAACCAGGGGGAAAAGAAGAACCTGGAGGTTCTGCCGAATATGAAAACTATTCTCCACAGCATCTCTAACACCTTTTGGGGTTTATAAAAGAGGAAGGCAGCAGAGATGTCAAAGCCAGGCATGCCTCATTCCCACAAGGAATAGAGCACTGAGTGTAACTCACCAGGCCTCTTACATGGGAATGTTGGATGGTACAGCACCATTGAGTTCCAGAAGGATGGTCCTGCGCCGCAGTAGAAAAACACCTTGAAACAAGGTAGCTTTACTGCTAAACTCTCTCACCATGCATGGCTGAGTTCAGCTGCTGAGGAAAAAGGTGTTCTCTCTGAACCTGTGAATTGACAAGATTCCCCCTATTCACAGAACAACCTTCCATCTGCAGGCTCACGTCACACTTAGAAGACATGAAAATGTGCCCCATCCCAAAAGAAAGAATCACATAAACTTTCTAAATTGCAACTATGCAAAAGACACAAGTAACACTGATTAAAACTGCACAAATTCCAAAATTTAATTGATAATATTCTACATGTAGGTTAAAGGTTAAAAATACCCTGCAATGCTGCTATATTTATTGACAAGGGCAACTTTTCCATCTGTTTCTAATTTTATCCATGATTGGTCATGAGCCTCAAAAGAAAAATCCACTGCTGACAATAAATGAAATGAAATTTGCACTTTCCTATAAATACCATCCCCCTTCAAGAAGAGGAACCCATTAATTACCACGTATGGGGAAAGAAGAATTAGTATGCTAATGCATACTAGTGTCCTAAATATTGTTCTTGATCAATAAACACACAACTTCAAACTCAGAACATTAGAAACAGAGATATACTCTGATTTGAATGGTGGTTTAAGTAAAAAAACTTATGTATCTGATATTTGGTAGATGGATATGGCACCTTTACACAATGAGTAGCCAGCAGCCAACTTTCCAAAGATTATGAACTTAGAGAGATGTTCTCTATTCGTCAGCTAGCAAATGACTAACTTTTCCAGATAGCCTTAACCACCTAAATCTAAATTATGGAAATAATACAAGAAGAGAGGCTGGAATCGGGGGAAAGGAGCCTTTATGCTCAAATAGTATTTTTATACCCCTTCTCACTGGCTAGTCAGGGACCTGACTCCTTTATCCACCAATATCAGATTTCTCAACCTCAGCACTATTGGCATTTTGGCCCAGGCGATTCTTTGTTGGGAGCTGTCCTGATTGTAGGATGTTTAACAGCATCCCTGGCTTCTATTCACTAGATGCCAATAGCACAACCCACTAGAGGCTGCCTACTCCTTGTGACAACCAAAAATGTCTCCAGACATTGCCAACTTTACCCCAGGGAGAAAAATCATCTCTGGTTGAGGACTTCTGACGTATACCAAAAGAGGAAGGAAATATTTAGTCAAAAAGAAAAAATAAATAACATTTAAAATAAATCTGAAGGCATAGGGAGTTTCCAGACCCCACAGAGTCCTCCCTTCCCCAATCACTCATGAGCTGCAGAGCTATGAAAGTAATCCACAAGATTGCAACTTACAAAAAAACTATGTTCTGAAAGTTTTGAAATGCTCGTTAGAAACATACCACCAATTTTCTCCATAGAAATGTTTATTATATGTGGTGAATAAGTTCACAGGCTAGCCCCCAATACATATATTCACTCATATATGCACATAGACAAATACCACATACACACATATTTAACTTACAGGGAATATATTATTGTAATATCAGTAATTAAATACCATGAAAAATAAATATTGAATAACAAATTATATACAGTCACACATCACATCATGAGGTTTTGGTCAACAATGGGCCACATATAAAACAATGGTCCCATAAGATTATAACAGAGCTGAAAAATGTCTGTCACTTAAGTGACATCTTGATGATCCTGACCCTGCGTAGGCCTAGGCTAATGTGTGTGTGTCCTAGTTTTTAAAAGAAAGTTTTTAAAGTTTTTTAAAATTTTTTAAATAGACAAAAGCTTATAAGGTAAGGATATAAAAAATATTTTTGTACAGTTGTACAATGTATGTTTAAGCTGTTAGCACAGGAGTCAAAGTTTAAAAAGTTTACAAAGTAAAAAAAAATTACCATACGCTAAGATTAATTTATTATTCAAGAAAGAAAAATTTTTGTATACATTTAGTGTAGTCTAAAGTGTACAGTGTTTATAAAGTCTGCAGCAGTGTACTGCAAAGTCCAGGGCTTTCACATTCACTCACCATTCATGCACTAACTCACCCAGAGCAACTTCCAGTCCTGCAAGCTCCATGGGTAGCAAGTGTTCTATACAGGTGTACCATTTTTTCTTTTACACTGTATTTTTACTATACATTTTCTATGTTATGCAATTGCCTATGGTATTCAGTACAGTAACATGCTGTACAGGTTTGTAGCCTAGGAGCAACAGGGTACACCATACGGCTTCAATGTGCAATAGGCTAAATTAAGGTTTGGGTAAGTACACTCAATGATGTACCCACAACAATGGCATTGTCTAATGCCACGTTTCTCAGAAAGCATTCCCAAACATACCCCTGTCATAACTATGCATGACTGTGTTTGCTTATCTCAAAACTTAAGAAAATGTCATTTTTACTAGATTTATCAGACTGACAGAGACTCTGTAGAGAGTCTGAAGAAGCTTTTTGGCACTCTAAGATCTTTGGCAGTTAGGAGCCCTGGATTCTTTAGGGACAGTTTTTAAAGTTTCTAAGGAAGTTTGTGTAATTGCCTTTTTCTCTAAGCGAAAATTTCCCTTAGAGAAAGAAAAATGATACGGAGTGGAGGGGAGCAGCTAGAAAGAGAAAAGTATTAATGAGTATTTGTGTGTAAGCATGAGAAAGATTTACCTGCAAGGCAGTTTAAATTAACTGAGCTTTGATTTAAATATACAAAAGAGAGAGAAATCTCTCTCTCTCTCTCTCTCCCTCCCTCCCTCTCTCTCTTTCTCTCTCTCTCTCCCTCCCTCCCTCCTTCTCTCATTCACATACACATACTCACTAGCTCCCCTGAGGGGATGCCGAGGAGTACAATTTGAAAACCACCAATTTAGTTCATGCTTCTCATTTCACAGACGAGAAACCTGAGGTGTAGAGAGATTAAGTGACTGGCCCATGCCCTTGTTAATGATGGGCTGGAAGAAAGACTCTGGCTGGGACTACTTTGCATTTGTACCCCTGAGCCCTGTGGAAGCAGCTAGGCAGAAAACTAGACTGGAGGACTGGACTTGTGCAGGGAAGAGCTGGGAGATCATGGGGTCAGACAGCTGAAGACACAGGGAGCCCAGGAAGTGTCAGGGACCCAGCTGTCCTCTCCAAACCCCAGGAGTGGGACCAAGGACTTACTTCCCCAGGGCTACCAAGAGGCAGTCTCCCAGAAGAGCTGCCCTCTGAAAGGGCCCCAAAACATCTTAAGAAACTCAAGAGGGACTTGCAGGGCATCCTTCCATGAGCTGCCCTCTAGAGGAAGTTGACAGAGAACAGAAAAACCTCCCATCCCTAAAAGTGGGCACATGACAACAGAAAATGAAGCTGTTGGACATTGAGCTTGTAGAAACAGTATTCTTGGGGGTATCTCATTTTTCCCTTTTCCTCACATGTCTTCATACCCATCGCAGCATGAATCCTATTTAAGACAGAATGAAATTAGTATCTCTTTCTGCTTGATATTATCTAAAGGGCAAGAGTAGAAATGCTGGTCTTTGTTTATAGATACCATTAAGAAACACATACAAATTCCCAGAGGCAACATTATACGGATGGAAGGTCAGAAAACTCTGAGTGGGAGGTTTAGTCAATTGCAGAAATGCCGAAAAAAATAACCTGGCTCTCGGATTCCTAGACACAAAGGTACCATTTAAGGAAAGAAGATGATATATACTGCCTCCCAAGTAACTGCCAGCCAGTAGACATTGCCTTGAGCACTGGACAGAACAAGTTTAGATCCACCTCTGAAAAACAAACACTTTCAGCTATTTCATGGTAGCTGCCATGTCCCTTAAGCTTTATTCAAACTAAAGGAAAACTACACAAAGGAAAAAAGTAGAGTTATATATTTTTAAACTCAGACACATGCTAGCTCTTACTCTTTTTTCTGTAGGCACAGGGGTAATAGACATTAACTCTGGAAGAAAAGAGATTAAGTGACAAAATTTTGTCTGTATCACAGAAATGAGTAACAGTAACCCTGTTAGCCCTGTGTGCTACAGTGAAAACTAGACAATGCTGGAGGGTGCCGGTCTGTGCTAGACGACAAGACTAAGCAAGACAGAAAGAGTCCCACTGGAAGGCAGGAGGTGATGGTGAAGGAAGAGAAGAGTGAAAAGAATGTCGTGTGATCAGGTGAGGATGCAGTACCACTAAGAACCTATCTAGGTTGCCCTGAGTTGCCTATAGGCTAAATCATCAATGTATTGATTGATGCTCTGGAACCCTATGTGTCTTTTCCCAGAGATTATCATTAATCTTAAAGTTTACCCAACTTTTTTAAACAGAAGCCATGGATATCATGTGGTAAGTAATCATGGTAAACTAGTTTTCATAAATGATGTAACGCATTTGATGCTGTGAGGTAAAGTGAAGTTTATTTATACCTCTGAATCTTGAGTGAAATATCATAGACAGAATGAGAGAGATGACTCTGTAAAGAAACCAGAACCTGAAAATGTGATCATTTTCCAAGCAGGTGAAAGTTGACTGGTAGGACCAGTTTAGGAGTGGAAGGAAAGAATGATTATTTAACCTAGCCCAGATGCCTTATGGTTAATATTTAAATATTCCAAGTGGTATCCACTACTTTGATTAGAAATTAAAAGAGGCCAGGTGCGGTGGCTCACGCCTGTAATCCCAACACTTTGGGAGGCTGAGGCGGGTGTATCATCTGAGATCAGGAGTTCAAGACCAGCCTAGCCAACATAGTGAAACCACATTTCTACTAAAAGTACAAAAAATTAGCCAGGTGTGGTGGTGCATGCTTGTAATCCCAGCTACTCGGGAGGCTGAGACAGGAGAATCGCTTGAACTCAGGAGGCGGAGTTTGCAGCAAGCCAAGATCACACCTGCACTTCAGCCTGTGACAGGGCAAGTCTTCGTCTCAAAAAAAAAAAAAAAGAAAAAGAAATGAAAGAAATTAAATGATACCCAGTGTTTTAAATGATAAACGTGTTGGTGTGCTTCTATGTGCCAGCCTATGTTTGGTGTTTTACAAGTATTAGATCTACTAGTTAGCATACAGACTAAGCTGCTGAAACAAAACCACCGCAAAGTACAGTGGCTTAAACAGGAAAGAAATGTCTTTCTTTTTTGTATAACAGTCCCAAGTTAGGCAGGCAGTCCCAGACAGGTAGGAAGCTCTGCTCTGCAAGAACATTCAGGGTTCCAGATTCCTCCTCGCTTATTGCTCTGCCATCTCCTAGGGTATTGTTCTCCTCCATATGGTCAGAGCTGACTCACTACCATCCATCTACTTTCCCACCTGCAGGAAGGGAGAAAAGAGGGGAAGGTGGACAGGAAGCTTCTTTTTATAAATTGCAGATAATTTAAACATAATTCTGTTCACATTCTATTGAACAGAATCCTAATGGCATGATCATGTCTTCCTCCAAGGGAGGCTAGAAATGTAGCCTATAACTGAATAGCCATATGCCTCAGTATAGCTCAAGTCGTAGTGTTATTAAAAGGACAGAGAAGGGGAATAGATATTGGGAGAAAATTTGGAGTCTCCGCCATTTTAACCTCATTGAACTCTTTCCACAATCCTGTATTATAATACTTTAAAAAAAGTTTTAATTTTTTAGATACTTACGGAGGCAATATAATATCTTTATAAATGAACAACACACTTGAAGCTGTTAATAATTCTCCCAAGCGCCACAGCAGGAAGTGGCCAAGGTAGAATTCAAACTCAGGTTTTTTTGTCTCGATATCCATCTTCCTTCTACCACGCTATGTACAGTGTGCCTAATGAGTCTTACTCCAACAGACAAAGCACATAATATGAAATAAAACTCATGCCATGTGGCTTTTTTCTTAAAGCCAATGTCTCTTCATAAAATAACAACACCAGCAGAAATATTTGTGTAAGAAAAAAAGTCAGAAACTCCTTTTTAGAAAATAAAAAGTTGAGGGGAGAGGGAAATTGCAAGGAATTTATTAAAATACCACTACAAAAGATACTTGAAAAAATTTATTTTTCTCCTACCACTATAAAACAATCAATTTTGGTGGTGTTGACCACAAATCGTATTGGTAAGAATAGAAGGACTCACGTGGAATGACTTTCTTGTTATTGAATATCCATAATAAGCTGGCATGGAACAATCTAAAACAGCAATGGGTCTGGTTTGGTAAAGTTGGTGTGATGTGTGCACACACGTACAAACACACACCCTTTATGAAATAGCATTACTGAATCCTGCTATAATCTTAAATCCCTACACACCTGAATGCGTCTATGTCATGAGATAAACACTCGTAGAATAAAAATTTACTATCCCACACATTCATTAAATTTGCGTAAGCGCTTTCAAGAATGGAAGGCTCTGCTTGGGGTGGGGTTTTATCCCCTCTTCCTTCCCCTGAAATCAAGAGATATATTTTATAATCTACAGCCAGCTCTCTGGCAAATCTCCATTCTTTTCAACCTGACAGACTGTTTGTCAGTTAAACTCCCCTTGTCATGTATCCCTACCACTGCCAACTCATGCACGGAGACCTTCACTTTTACTGCTACCACTTGCACCCTATGCAACCTTTGTCATTGATCACTGATCCGATCCAGTGCCCACATGTTCTTCAAGTGCCTACACAAGTAATGAGGTACTTGTGGTGTAAAATTAAACTGTCAACTGTCAGCGATTGATAACCACAGTGAGAGCTGACCTAGAACACCTGCACCAGTGGCCAAGACAGGTGTGACGTGTTTGATCGCTGAGGCCTGCTAGTCAGTCTGACCTGGTGCTGTCCCTCCATGGGTTTCCTTGCATTTCAGCCTCCCAGCTTTCCTGCATACCCCTATGAGCATCCCTAGTTTGCAGAAACCACCCTCACAGCCAATTCGGGCAGCTGATCAGAGTGGCCTTGAAAGCAGATCTCGAGTCAGTAGGTTGGTTTGAAAGTAATATGACCTAGAGATTTTCAAAGGTGGCATCTGGAGTCAGCCTGGTGTTTTTTCTTCCACATTTCCCCACATCCCCTCCTAAAGCGAGTCTTGGTGGCAGGATTCACACATACCATCCTCCCTCCATTTGTGTTTCCAGTCATGTACCAGTGCCTGGCAAAAGGACCTTCCCTTCAGGGCAGGCACACGGCAGTTATTAAGAGTCTGGTGTAAGGATGAAGCAGTCCTAATGGAACTGCCTTATGGCTCTGAGCATTTGCTTAAAGGCATTTAAGTTGAACTGGCTCACGTTCTGTTAAAGTACGATAAATGCAAGCTTTTCTTACTCATATGTAATTGAATAACCTGCACAAAGGAAAAAAACATGTTCTGCTCTGACTAAAATTGTTTTTAGCCAGAGTTGTTGCACAGCATTTAAAGTTTTTATTTAACAGTTTTATTATGTAAATGAGTAATAGATTTTTTTAGCCTTAAGCAAAAATGCACTTACAGACCTAAAACATCCTTTGTGAAAAATCTGAGACGCGTGATGGGATTCTCATCCCATTACGCCATCTCACCCGCACCAAACAGTTGCACTATATTAAGTTCATGTGATGAGAAGATAAAAATCTATTAACTTTCTGCTGACCTTATCGACACAGGAATCTCTGCAGACATTACAAAAGCCATATCTCTTCTGACTTTTACATCCAGAGCCTCATGCTCCAAAGTCCCAAACCAAATGTAAAATCTTCATGATGAGTGGGACCCTGACACCAATTCAGATTCCAGGCTTGCTGGCTTGCAGTCAATGGAGCCTCCTCTGGGGCACAGAGGCTAGCCTCTACTTTGCATGTGACTTGAGGGGCCTTTTTTTTGCCATATGCTACTGGGGACTCTGAATCAAAACTATTTCATGAGGACCATATGTTATGAGAAATGCATGATGGAAAGTGAACAGCAAAAAGTTGCCCCATATCACTGGGTGATGTATTACAAACATAATTAAATCTGAATAATGTGCAGTGTTATTTCAGTTAATCATTTTTTTTTTTTTGCAATTTAAGTGAGGAAAACATAGCCCAATTTCCAAATTACATACCAAAGTCCAGATAAGCTAAAGCAGATTGGTGGGAGAGGAGTAAAACAAGAGCTGTACACCCTTGTTTAAGCTTCTGTAAAAGGTCTTGGTGTATTTAAGATATGTTGGTAGGAAGGTGACAAATTATAGTCTCTGTAAATAAAAGGTTTAAAACACTATTCGTTTTCTTTTGAATCAACAATGAATTCAGACCATCCCCAACTTATAAACAAGCAGCAAGTCAAAAAGATCACTGTGTGTTCATTGTTTAGAATCCAGAGTATAATTAAAATTTCATTATTAATAGCTATTAGGTTTCCAAGCTAGCCTATGAAGACCTGTCTACTCCAGCTGTTTCTGAAATGTGGTATTTCTACTTTATCTTGATAGCATTAGTTACAGGGAGAATGGACAACATATTCCAAATTCAATGGAATTTATTTATTCATTCTCTACTATGTTTTCCCAGAATATACTGATTACTACATTTCCCCAAAGGATATCCCAATTTCCCAAATGTCCCCAAGCTGGAAGAAATCATTTTCTATTCTGAACCCTTGGAATACTTTATTTGTACTCTTATAATCACCTTCTACCTAAACTACAGGTTTTTGTCAATTGAGCTTAACTACTCCACTTATTTTTATATTTTTATATTACTAGCTTATTTTTACATTTCTAACACCCTAGTTCCAAGCCCTGAATTTGGCAAGTTCTCAGTACATATATATGTATAAAAGTGGATGCCTATGTAAATAAAGGAATACGATCTACTAGGGTTGCCAAACATATTTTCCCCTCAGTGGCACTGGAATCATGGGATGTAATGGGGGAAAGGGAAGAATATGATAATGATAATGACAATGATGAGAATGAGGATGATAATAGCAAATAATATTGTGTGTTTACCATGTGACATGCTCTTGTCTAAGCACTTTGAAAGTGTTGACCAATTTAATCCTTGAAACAACTCTGTATGGTAAATGATATATATGTAATGTTACGTGTGTGTGTGTGTGTGTGTGTGTGTGTGTATAATATCCCTATTTTACAGATGGGATACTGAGCACAGAGGCGTCAAACAATTTTCCCAAACTCATACAAATAGTAAGTATAATAGATATTTCTGGACACCAGAAACATATTTGCTGTGTACATGTGCATAAGAGGGAATGCTTCCCTACATTACTCCAGAATACAAAGCTTCTTTCTGCCTTTCTCATCCACATAATGGAAGACACTTCTTGGGTGAAATACTCCACAGTTATTTCAGTTCTCACTGGTGAGTCTGAATATAAGCTCTATGAGAGCAGGGACCTTGTCAGTCTTATTCACAATATCCCCAGCCTCTAGAACAAGGCTGGCACATAGTAGATGCACAAAAGGTGTTTGCTGAATGAATGGATGACTGAGTCTGTGTGGGGTAATGATAGGGCTAAGGATGGGACTCTAAACTCAGGTTTCCTCTGTGGGTTTCACAGTTTACTGGTCTTAAGAGGAGAGTTTCCTAAACTTGCCTTATGATAAAAACCACCTTCAGCATTTGTTAAAAATTACCCATTCCTGTAGATTCTGAGTCAGTGAGCTGAAGTGGAGCTGATAAATCTGTTTTTGTTGATACTGCTGCTGCTGCGGTTTTTAACACATGCTTCAGGTGGTTCTAAGCTTAGGAAACCTTGCCCAAAGGATACCATTCTGTCTCTTGGGAAACTGCCTCTATGATAGGCATTTGCAAATTCACCAAGAGTGACAGATAGTGCCTCGGGCACTGCCACTGTCTCTTCCAATGCAATTTGTACATTATGCCGAATCATAATACAGGCCTTGTACTTCTGCCTCAGCTGACTTGTCTGTGGGATCCTGCAGCTCTCAACCATGCGGAGGAACGCTTCCATTCACACATTTTGTCCCCCTAACCCTGTCTTTTCTGAGGGTGCATCAATGTCTGATGAATGAATGAATGATGGAATAAACACCAACATGGGCAAACAAGCAAGTCAGGCAGTTGTGAGGAGTGGAAGTGTTTCATAAGCTTCAGTTTTTAGTTGCACGTAGTAGCATACAAACAATGGCAAAAAGAATATTAACATGTCCTGTTTCCATTGCTTTCCTTCTGACTTAAAGAGCGTTCCTATAACAGCTAATAATCTCTGGACCTCAAAATCACTATATATCTTTTTTAAAATATTTTATTTTCCTTAGTTATAATGGAACAGATATGGTGACCTTAGTACCCAAAGGATTATTTTAGTCTTACAGATATCTCTCTCTTCCTTATTCTCATTTTTATTCTTCTTTCTTCCCCCAGTCTGATAATTATGTCCAGAAATCAGTAAAGAACATCAATCTTGGTTGGGATAAATTTAAGTAGCTGGAAATCATAATATCTATGATCCTCCAGAGTCTAGAACACGGTTTCTAAATCTCAACGCTATTGACATTTTGAGCCAGATAATTCTTTGTGATGGGGAGCTGTCCCGTGCATTATAAAATATTGAGCAGTGTGTCCCTGGCCTCTACCCAGTAGGTGCTAGTAGCCAACCTCCCGAATCTCTAGTTATGAGTTATGACAACCAAAAATTTCTCCAGATATTACTAAATGTCCCCTGGGAATCAAAATAACTCCCAGTTGAGAATCACTAATCTAGAATGATTTTTTAAAACAATGTGCTTTTTAACATATTAGTCGATATTTGGTATTTATGTTAAAGGATATATTAATCAAAGTTGCTTGAACATCAAACGAAAATATGGACATAATTTCTTAAAGAAATTGTTGGTTCAAAAGAATCATGGCTACCCCTTTAGATGTGAAGTTCAAGAGATATCAGGCAGAAGCTGAAATGGAATCTTGACATTGCTGAGATTTTACAAAAAAATTTGAAAGGAGGGTGAGCTTGAAGACTAACTAAAATGTCTCACTTTTGGCAAAAACATCCAAAGTGTAATGCACTTTGCCAACAGCTTTGCCCTTGGCTTTTTGTCTTGTTTTTTCTTTTTAACTTAAGGGTAGTTCAAGGGTAGTTTTAATCTGTATGTTCCTGGTTCCTATAATCTAAAAATCATCCAAATGCTGTTTTATAAGAGTATCTCGTAAGCTTTGATGTCCAAGAAGCCTGGGGGCCCTTTTTTTATGTGCTTATTTTCTTTTGAACCAGGAAATTGTGTTTTGCCAAGAGCAAATGGAACTTGAGCCTCAAAAGATTTGAGCTCTGTTTGAAACATAGAACCCACAAATTCTCTACAGGTTCTCAACTTGATAAAATACGTGCTTTCACCTTCCCTCAGACCAAACCTCTGCTGGTTCTACTTTAAATCACCATTAGCACTGTCCTATACACCTAAAGATTTCCCCACAAGAGAAAGGGTTAGGCCGTAAGTCTGAATTCCTGACACAACACTATTTTCAGCTGGACTCATCATCAAAATGCTCTGCAAGGTAAGAGAAGAGAAGTTAAATGAGAAGACAGAGAAAAGGTGAGAGATTCAACTAAGTAACTAAGAAAGTCCTTTGACTTTCCCCAGGACCAAATCCAGCAAACAAGAGATTACATCAAAGTTAAATTGTTTACATATTAGATGACCTGTTCATTTTTTTCCTTACCATTGATTTCCACAGTACAAAAATATTATTTCAGTGGCAAGGATGTAAACCTTATTCATAACAGGATTTCAACCACATCCTGAGAACGAAGCATCTCCTTAGATAGTGTGCTCTCATTTATATCGAAGACATGCTGGTTTTATTTGTCAGTGTTTGTTGAGAGGTCACAATATCAGGAAGCAGGAGATGGCTCATCAAAGCGTCTCTGCAAGCCCCTACTACTCATCAATTAGACAGCACCTTGTTTTTAACATCGGGGCGGAAATGCATCTCCCCTGACCCATTGTTAGAAGCTTCCTTCTGTCTTTAAGTTTTTTGGAAGGGACACTCAGGACTCGACTTCTTTTTTCCAATAGGTAATTGTCACTAATTAATGCTCCTGCTGCATACAAGAATGTGGACCTGTGACCCTGAGTAATCTGGGTCTGTATCTCTGGCTTTGGAGCAAGGACACTCTAATCTCCTGACTCTAACCATGGGGGCCCAGGTCACAGACACAAGACTTCCCGCTGGGTTCCTGAGCAGGCCTTACTCTGCTTCAAAGCCAGTGAGTTCAGTGGGGCAGCCTGACTTCAAGGAGAATGTGGCATCTGGCCAGTGAATACCTTCTGAGGTGAGATGTTTTCTCTGAAGGTCTGGAGATCTTTCTGCAGAAACCAAGGTCTCTAGCTCTATTCATTCCACATTCATTTACTGGGTACCTGTTCTGTGCCAGTCTCTCACCTAGGCACGGAGGATAAAATGAGTAAAACAGAGTCCCTTCTGCTGACAAGGAACTAGAACTAGGCTCAGTCTTAGCCCCTTGTTAAAATACCCTTTAAAGTGTAACTAGATAAGGTGGTCTTATGTTCCATCTTTTAGATCTAATGTTTTTGTTTAATGGTGCTTGTTATTTTCTCATTAATAAAAACTGATGAGCTCACATATGCATTAATTCATCTCATTTCACCATAAGATTCTTCATTCACTTTCCCTCCCTTCTCCTCTCCTCTCTTTTCTTTTCTTTTTCTTTTTTCTTTTTTTTTTCTCTCTCTCTCTCTTTCTCTCTCTCATCTCTTTCCCACACACACAAACTAAAGCATGGGAATTTCTGATGAGCATAAGACTCAGAATGACTCCAGGATAAAAATATATCTCTTTCCCATACTCTTAACAAAATACTAGATCACTGAGGATGCCTGTCCAAAATTCCTCCCTCACTTAAACAGAGCTTTAGGTTTTCCTTTTCCTCTAGTGAAGATCTTTCTCCAAAACCGAGCCTAGCAACTACCCTCATGCATATACACCACTGGATTAATTTCAAATCAATAAAAATGATATAAACAAATGCCCAACATTAAAAAACAATAAGGAAACTCTGGACTTCAAAATAGTTAAACAAAAGGCTGGTTATTTTTAAAATAGTCTTCATATTACAAATGTCGGATTCCTTTGAATAAATCTGGCCCGGATTCCTTTTTAAACATTTATGGCTGCTTGATTTCCACGGTTCAAGAACCTATCACTACTAAAGAAATAAGCTACAACCATGTATTATGTAATTAAACAGGCCTAAGTGATAGAAAC